>NW_021160012.1:204956-409912 GCF_000001405.40 Homo sapiens | reverse complement strand
GCCTTCAAGTCCAGCGTCGCAAGCATGGCAATACCCCTTCTCTACTAATATTCAAAAATTAGCAGGGCATTATGGCGCGTGACTGTAATCCCGGCCACTCAGGAGGATGAGACTGGAGAATCGCTTCAACCCGGGAGATATTTGCTGCAGTGAACCCAGTGCACCACTGCATTCCAGCCTGGGTGGCTGAGCGAGAGTCCGTCTTAAAAAAAAAAAAAAAGACACAAGAAAGAACAGACCAAAATACTCCATTGTTTCAGAACATTTCCCCAGAAGACCCCAAACGCCCTGAGTCAGGTCAAGGAGGTGGTGCTTTATTTTACTTGTCTCTCTCTCTTTCTCTCTCTCTCTCTTTCTTCCCTAACTGTTATTTGTTTTTGAAGCATACATGTGCAAGATTGTTTCATAGGTAAACTTCTGAGTAGGGGGTTCAGTGTGCCGATGATTTCCTCACCCGGATTCTCAGCGCAGTCCCCTACAGTTTTTGTGTTCTGCTCGTTTTGCTTTGTCCTGAAGCTGTCTGTCCTTCCACACGTCCTCCCTCAGGTAGGCTCCTGCGTCTCTCGTCCCCCTAGTTCTTCGCATGCATTCTCATTATGTAGTTCCCACTTATGTGTGAGAACACGCGGTATTTAGATGATTATTGTTTCATCTTCGGTGGTGGTGATGAAAGAGGCATGACACTACATCGACCCTTAGGACGCTCCCCTCCATCCCCACCCTACACCCCCTCCCCACGCACACCGTCTTTCCTGCACCCCCTCCTGAAACCCAACAAACGAAGAAAGACAGAAATTAAAGTAAGAGTTCAGCCACCAAGGCGGTGGTGGGGGGGAATCTCAAACGGTGAGCAGGCGATGGGAGTCTGGGGATGTCATGGCCTAGGTAGCAACAATAGGGGACCGACTTTCCAGCCCCCCCCCCCACACTCCCTAATCCTCAGCCATCACTTTGGAGTTCATCCAAGGAAGGCTGGTCTCAGGGACTACATACCTAACCTCTCTGGGCTTCTATAGGATAAGATGTTATGGCCAGACGCGGAGCTCACGCCTTTAATCTCAGCACTTTGGGTGGTCAAGTTGGGTGGTACGCCTCAGGTTGGGTGTTCTAGACCAGCCTGACCATTATGGAGCTACCTAGTCTCTATGAAAAAAAAAAAATTAGCCAGGCCTGGAGGTGTTTGCCTGTGGTTTCAGCTACTCGAAAGGGTGAAGACTGGAAAATCTCTTGAACACAGGCGGCAGAGGTTGCGGTGAGCTGAGGTCGCGCCACTGAACTCCAGCCTGGGCAATAAGAGCGAAACTCCACCTGAAAGACAAAAAAAAAAAAAAAAAAATGAAAAGGAAAGAAGATTTTATGAAGTATAGTTTATATCAATCGGCTCTCACTGTACCTTGAGAGATTCCGAAAATCGCTACTTAATGACCGAAGAAAACACCAGCTAACAGGTTTTGGGGAAAATACACATCTTCCTAAAATTGGTAAAATCTACTTCAACTGAAAAGAGATAAGTAAAGTAAAAACTACAAACAAAACAAAACGTAAAAACAAACACAGACCAAGGCATCGCTTGTGGAAATATTATGTAAGCAAATTGTCACTTTTTAGAAAGCATTTCTATGTTGGGCAAATACCAGTAAGGCCCAGGGAAGATCTGTGAAATGTGGCAGCATGCACCATTTTAAGGGCTGAAATCCATCTGTGTGTCTCCTTTCATCACAACTCTTTTTTTTGGGCGGGCGGATACCTGGAGTTCATGAGTTCAAGAGCAGTCTGGGCAATATAGCAAAATTCTGACTACTAAAAAGGCAAATGTTAGCTGGGTATGGTGTCACACAGAACTATGTTCCAAGAGGAAGCATCACAAATACCCATGGTCCGCAGTCAAGAAATGAACTGAGTTTACAAGTTTGTAGTGTCATTGCTGCCTCGAAAGGTGAGATGCATATGTTTGTGTCACTGCGGGTTTCTATTTCTTCTTGGAAACTCACTTATTTTTAATTACTTTTTTTTTTTTTAGATGGAATCTGACTCTGTCACCCAAGCTGGAGTCCAGTGGCATGATCTGGGCTGACTGCAATCTCCATCTCCCGGCTTCAACAGATTCTACTACCTCAGCATATAGAGTAGCTGGGAGTAGAGGTGCGTGACACCACACCTGGTTAATTTTTGTATTCTTCATACAGACAGAGTTTGACTATGTTGGCCAGGCTGGTCTCAAACTCCTGACCTCGTAATCCTCCCACATCCGCCTAGCAAACTGCTGAGATGAGAGGAGTGACCCACTGCACCCAGCCTACTGGTTTATTTTTAAAAATAGCAATTTGGGTCGGGCGCAGTGTGTCTCGCCTTTCTATATCAACCAACATTCTTTCTCGAGTCTGATGACCTGGGATCTCCCAGCACTTTGGGAGGACGAGGCCACAGGATTCCTGGAAGTCGGAGTTCAAGACCAGCCTGGGCAACATGGGAAAACCCTGTCTTTACTAAAAAGGTAAAAGTTAGCTGGGTATGGTGGCACGTGCCTGTTATCCCAGCTACTCGAGAGGCTAAGGCAAGAGAATCGCTGGAACCTGGGAGGCGGAGGTTGCAGTGGCCCGATACTGCGCCATGGCCTGACCAACAGAACAAGACTCCATCTCAAATAAATTAATAAATACGTTAGTTAATCGAAAAGTTTAAAAAGAAAACTTCAAGGACGTTGCAGGAATGCACGGGAATGCTTCTCTCATTCCTAAAGATCAGAGCAGAAACACAGTACCATCAGGTTGAGATACAGGCCATTGTGAATCTCTTCTCACTGTGCTCAACTGAGACCAAAGAAGGGCAGGTTTCCATGCCGCCCGTTCATCATCACCGCTCTCGTCAAGTATAATTGCAGAGTCATGACTACACAGAGATCTCTCAACCCACCAACTGCGTCCTTACTTGTATGAGTGCAGTTGAAAGAATAAACAGGGCATTTAGCGAAGTAATCATCATATGTTCTTTTGTCTCTCGTGTCTCTCATGAAACCAATCACATTCGTGGACCACTTTTTCCCCACCCTTCGAACATCCACAGAGCACCAAAATAAAAGAGCAGTGAATGCCTTTTACGCGACAAGGAGGAAAAACAACAAAGTGAAAGTCACAGAGGCTTGTGATACACAGGGAGATACAGAATAAGGAGAATTTTCCAAAATCCACACAAAGACAGACAGACAGAGGGATGGAAAGAAAGAAATGAAGAAAAGAGAGAGAGAGTAAGGAAGATCAAGAAAAAGAAAATAGACAGACAGAGATGTAAAGGGAAGAAAGATGAAAAAGAAAACCAAAAGACATAGAAACAGAAAAAAAAAGAATGAGAAATGAGAGAAAAAAGGGAGGAAGAAAAAGAGAGAAGAAAAAGAAAAGACAGAAAGAAAGAGAAAGAAAAAAAGAGAAAAAATGAAGGAAATAAAAAAGAGGGCAGGGCATTGTGGCTCACACCTATAATCCCAGCACTTTGGGAGGCTGAGTTGGAAGAATTGCTAAAGCCTAGGACTTTGAGACCAGCCCTGGCAACACAGTGAGACCCCGTCTCTACTGAAAAAGAAAAGAAAAGAAAAAAATCCGGGCATTGTGATGGCAGGCGCCTGTGGTCCCAGATCCTTTGGAGCCTGAGTTGAGAACATCGCTTGGGGTCGGGAGGTGGAGGCTGCAGCGGGTCTTGGTCAGACAAATGCTCTGCAGTCTGTTTCCGAGGCTGTCTTGAACTCCCGAGCTCTAGCGAACTGCCCTCCTCAGCCTCCGAAATTGCAGCCGCCACAACCAACGGTCCTGAAGGTGTCATTGACAGATTTTAGTAAACAGGGTGTTTCGCCATATTGCGAATTTGAACCCAGGCATTTGAAGCTGCAGTGACCCAAAGTCGCGCCACTGCACTGCACTCTGGGTGATAGAGGAAGACTCCATCTCTAAATAATTACATAAATAATAAAAACAATAACAATAATGACAAACAATAATACAAAGAAATAATAAGCAGCAATAATAATAAACAAACTCGTGGGAGTGAAAAACTATAAAAGGTAATTTAGATCACAATTAATTGCAGTTTATTTCAAGGAATTTTTTTCTTTAACCTGTCTCTCTTACCTTCTGAAACACTCAGACTGGAGGGCAAGGCATCATCACGGCTCACTTCAGCTTCGACATCACAGAATTAAGTGATTCCTGTAGTCTCAGCCACTTGGAAGGCTGAGATAGGAAGATCACCTGAGGGAGTCCTGGAAAGTCGAGGCGGCTGTAAGCCGAGATTGCATTCTTACACTCCAACCTGCCTCAAAAACTACAAATAAATAAAAGGTAAATGTAAAACAACAGCAACTTCAGTGTGTAGAAAGAGGAGCAAGAAAAATAAAAGAAAAACAAAACGAAGAGAAACTGAAAGTACTGTGGAAACAGTTGGAGAGGAAGAAACAACGCAAGGAAAAAGCGACACCTAGTGAATGCGGGCGGTACTGCTGCTGACCAAAGTTATCTGGTCTACCTTAGAAATCCCAAGTTGACGGTCAAGTCCAACGCTTGCCGCGGACATCAGGTGGGCACGGCGACCAGAGACCTGAGGACTGGGGCCTTAGGCCCTGGTCCCAGGTCTTCCAGACAGAGAAGCCCGCGGCCGTGTCAACTGGATGTTGCTTGCTTCCCGCAGTCGGCTGATTCGCGGGCTGATCGGGAAGCCAAACGCCAGCATCTAATCGACAGGGTCCACCCTAAAGACCAAATGTGGTGCTCGCGGAGGGAAGCGATCAGACGCAGTTGGAACCTTATCACACAGAACCGGCCCAGGTTTGAGGCCGTCTAACTTGGCAGACCTGCCAGCCATTTCCCCGCAGTCCGCTGGTTGACCCGGACAGAGAAGAGGAGTAAAGACACAAGGGTAGTGACTAGCTAGTCTTTCATCCCAGCACCCCTGAGGCGGGGAGAGGGACTGTGACCCCAACAGCCACCCACGGGCATCGCGCGAACACTACTCAGGCAGGGACTGCAGGGGCAAAACCTCTGACACCCGCGCCTCAGCCATTCGCACGAGGCTCGAAGAATCCGGTCCCAACTCGTGGAGGAATTCCCAGCGGGATGGGAGAAAGAAGCTCAATCAGAGAGGTGGAACATCGAGCAGGGGCGCCAACCCTACCTCGCAACCCCCAGCGCTGCATCTTGGAAAGCCTGCTGTTGGGGAACGACCCCTCCCAAATGCACGGCCGACGCCAATGTTATCTCGCGAGAGACAGCCCTGCATGCCCTGGGGCTCCGGGGCGGGGGGCCTGAGCAGGCCCGGGAACTAAGTCCCCGGGGGCAAAAGGAGGGAAGAAGGAAGGTAGAGGTCCAGGGCTGAATTATACAGGACACGCCACAACGCTAGCTTTCCCGCACACTGGTTGAGAGCCCCTTGTGTGGAGGGCTGACTTTCAATAGGTTGCAGTGAGGGAGTTGCTCTGCTCCATAGGAAACCCTGACCCAGAAGCAGGGCGTTTACCAATAGTTTAGTATCAGATTCCCCATGAGCATGTTATGTGACGGGCCAGGGAGCAAACGCCTTTCTGGCCGCACCCCGTTTTTTAGGATGGGGGGCCGCACCCCGTTTTTTAGGATGATAAGACCGGAGCAAGGTCTTGGCGCACAGCGGGGCGGAGCGTCCGGCCGGTGGCAAAGGCTGGGGACTGGCTATCTGAGGCCAACCGAGTCTTGCCAGCGCCGCTGCATCCTTTCTTCTGGGCGGGATTCTGATTTAGAGGCGTTCAGTCATAATCCCACAGATGGTAGCTTCACCCCATTGGTTCCTCAGTCAAGCACATACACCAAATGTGTGAAACTTTGATTCCTCTCATACTCAGCAGGATTACCATGGTAGCAACACATGGGCAACAACACATGGAGAACACACGCAGTAAAACTAACCTGTCTCACATGGGTCTAACCATGATGCTTTCCAGGGCATGCACTCCGCTTTTAGATGAATCCATTCCACTTTGCCTTGCCCTTCACAAAGAAAAGAGAACTCGCTGGCCACAGTGGCTCACGCCTGTAATCCCGGCACATTGAAAGGCTGAGGCTGACGGATCACCTGATGGCAGGAGTTCGAGTCCAGCGTGGCCAACATGGTTAAACCCTGTCTCTATGAAAATACAAAAATTAGCTGGGCATAATAACGGGTGCCTGTTAACCCAGCTCCTCGGTAGGCTGAGGCAGGAGAATCGCCTGAAACCAGGAAGCGGATGTTGCAGTGAGCCGAGATTGCTCCATTGGGCTCCATCCTGAGCCTCTAAGCGAGACTCCATCTCAAAAAAGAAAAAAAAAAAAAAAAAAAAAAAAACGAGAACTCTCTCTAGGGCTCCCACCTGCTTTTGCAGAATCAGAGAATGTGATTGCCGGCAAAGGTTGAGGGGAAGGCGCAGGGGAAAGAAGGGGGAGGAGCAAAGGCTGGAGGCACAATAGCTCACTCTGGAACCTTTCCAAGTTTAGTGGGGACAATTTTGAAACTAGCTGACTCTGGAAATTACACATAATTCATAGTATTATTGCTTCTTTGAAAGGTGAGCGGTTCATGATTTTTTTTCTCAGCATTTATTCATTTACTTGTAATAAGTGCATTTAGTTTCATACAGTTTACATACAACCGGTTTGACTGTATCTGCAGAGATTTAGGATAGATTTTCTTAATGATAAGCCCTAGGGTGGAGCTACAATGCACTTTCCGTTGTGAACCCTGAAAACTTGAGAGAGGTCTCAGTTAATTTAGAAAGTTTACGTAACCAAGGTTCAGGACGCATACCCGTGACAGCCTCAGGAGGTTCTGAGGACATGTGCCTAAGGTAAACAGAGAACATTATCGTTTTATACATTCTAGGGAGATATGAGACATCAATCAAAGTATGCAAGATGAACATTGGTTCGGTCTGCAAAGGCGGGACAAATTAGCAAACGCGGGAAGACTGAAAGTGAGGAGGGGACTTCCTGGTCAAAGGTAGTTAAGAGACAAATGGTTGCATTCTTTGGAGTTTCTAATTAGCCTCTCCAAAGGAGGCAATCAAATATACATTTATCGCTTGAAACCAGGAGGTGAATGTTGCAGTGAGCCGAGATTGCTCCACTGGGCTCCAGCTTGAGCATCTGAGCGAGACTCCATCTCAAAAAAGAAAAAAAAAAAGAGAAAAGAGCAGAGGAGTGACTTTGAATAGAATGGCAGTTTGGCCCTAAACAGTTGCCAGCTTGACTTTTCCCTTTACTTTAGTGATTTGGAAGCCTCAAGATTTATTTTTCTTTCACACACACAATTTTTAAAACCCAGGTAGAACTGTTCATGCTTACTAAAAAAAAAAAAAAAAAAAAAAAGGAAGAAAGAAAAACAAATGATAGCCTAGGCGCCCTGGCTTATTTCTGTAAACTCAGCACTTTAAGAGGCTGAGGTGGGTGGATCATCTGAAGTCAGGACTTCGAGAACAGACTGGCCAACATGGCGAAATGACGTCCCTACTAAAACTACAAAAATTTGCTGGGAGTAGAGGCAGGCACATGTAATACCAGCTAGTGGGGAGGCTGAGGCAGGAGAATCGCTTGAATCCAGGAGGCAGAGGTTGCAGTGAGCCGAGATGGCGCCATTGAACTTCAACCTGGGCTACAAGAGCGAAACTGTCTCTGTCTCTAAATAAATAAAGAAATAAGCATTCCCAGCCAGGGTGGAGGTTTCCTAGGCAACAAGGCATAGGGGGAGGGACAGAAGGAGTGCCTCTGAGGTCAGGGTGGGGCCCGAGAGAAACCAGTTTTCCCTGGCTGTGCGCGGGCGGCCAGAAGTTTTGGTGTGATGCCTCCATTTTCAATAACAGTGACCGCTAGGTGACGCCAAATGACAACCGAACGACGTTCCAGCCTGGAATGAGTGGGGTCACTGGTTTAGGGGTTGTCAAGGAAGGAGAAAGAGATGGAGGCCCATGGGGTCGCCGGTCTTCTGATCTCTCCTGGATTACGTTTCCGGGCCCGAGACACCCTCCCAGACAATCCCCGCAGCTCTTCAACCAGTGTCCCTGGGGAAAAGATGATCAGTTCTCAGAAAACATTCAGACAGGCAAGAACATGCGCTCACGTGAGCACATGACAAGTATACAAGTTTATATGTGATAGTGAGCTTTCTTTTGCAAAATGTCTTCGTGATGCATTTCACTACATAGTATTGTTGAAAACATCAAATTATAGGAGTGAGCACAGTGGCTCAAGCCTGTAATCCCAGGACTTCTGAAGACCAAGGTGGGAGGCTGGATAGAGGACAGGAGTTTGAGACTAACCTGGGCAACACATCGAGAGAGATTACCACTACTTAAAAATATTGCCCAGCATTGTGGCACATGCCTATATTTCCAGCTACTCAGGAAGCTGAGGCAGGAGGATTGCTTAAGCCCAGGATTCAACGTTGCAGTGAGTGAGCTGTGAACAGGCGACCAGAGTTTTTTTGTTCTCTACAGCTTACATTTTCAATAACGGTTGCCGCTAGTTGTCGCCCAAAGACAACTAAAACACGTGTCATCCTGGAATACGTGGGATCCCTGATGGAGGGGTGGGTGAGGAAGTAGGAGGGGACGGAGGCACACGGAGTCGCCCATTTTCTCATGATTCCCGTTGGACTACTTTTCTGGGTGCAGAGCATCCTCCCAGAAAGTCCCCAAAACCATTCAACCAGAGCTCCTGAAAAAAACAGTCGCACTCTCTGCCCATCGGATCATCCGGAATTTCCATTTATCCATTGAGAAGAATGCTCCATTGGAGTTTGGCGCAGGTTACGGTTACAGGCAGGGGCTGCCTCAGACAGAAGTCTAGTCTACAGAGTTTCACAGTAGACCCTAGGTTCAATCTCTCCCAAACTCAGAGTAGCAATATCTGTCACAGTAGAATGAAGTGCATGAAATGCGTGCTCCGAAGAAAGCGTGTTTCACACAGATGATTTGCACACTTATTCTTGTCCCTAGGCCAGTTGTTTCTTCCAAAATACCCATTACTCAATCGTTCACCCTCTCGTGAACCACTTAGGAATCTTGTTCTATGAATCCTGGAGCTTCAATATTTGACATCTTCAGAAGAACATGAATGCTATCCTAGCCTGGTAGCAATAAGGTACCATTTCTCAGAAAACACGCACCTATGCACACAAGCAAGCATGTATACACACATGCCCGCATCATATCTATACAATTTTACACTGTGATAGTGAGCTTTCTTTCCCTAGATAACTTCGTAATCGCTTTCGCTACATAGTATTGTTTAAAATATCAAATTATAGGTGCTGGGTGTGGAGGTTTGACTCTAGTCAAAGCACTTTGCAGGCAAAGCTGGGAGAATCGCTTAAGGTGGGGAGTGTGAGAACAGCCTGGAAAACATAGCAAAATCTAATCTCTACTAAAAATAAAACAAAATTAGCTAGGCGTTGTGGGGTGCACCTATAGTCTCAGCTACTTAAGAGGTTGAGGCAAGGATTGCTTAAGAACAGGAGTTTGAGATCCTATGATACTCACTCCTGCAACACTGCTGTGGCCCATGAATTGGCTACATGACCAATGACACGGAAGGAACATGATTACAAAATTCCTGGCAAAAAAAAAAAAAAAAAAATAGAAAAACTTTTGTGGATAAACTTCTCTCACTGGGTAAATTACATAAAGATATGTCTGTTCTATATGAATCCCTACTAAGGGGTAACCGTATCAGAGCATGATTTTGATAATGATGTGGACAGAATGTCTTGTTCCGTGAGTATGGGTCATTCTTACTTCCCTGTCACCCCCATCATCACCCAATGGGCTTATAAACAAGGTGAACATAGTAGCAGAAATAGAAGCAACGCACGGGCTAAGCAATATGAACTTTGAATCCCAAAGGCCAGTCTGGCTACAGTCAATTCTGAATGTTTAATTTGACAGCAGCACAGATCTACACTGAGGCTTTGATATGACATCATTTCCAGGGTGATCCACCAGGCACCTGGTAGTAAATTTATTACGTTGAATAACTTTTATAATATAGGCGGCAACAGTTTGTACTCACTGGAGTAGGCTCTTACTATGGATACAAATTTGCTTTCCCTGGGTGGAATTCTGCCAAAACTACCCTCCATGGACTCACAGAATCCCTCATCCATCCCTATGATATTCCACTTAGCATTGCTCAGACCAAGAAACTCACTTCACAGCCAAAGTGTAGCAGTGTGCTCATCTTCACGGATGTCAGTGGACTTACCATGCTTTCCATTATCTGGAAGCAACTGGATTAATAGAATGATAGGTTTGTCAGCATTTCCAGCCACCCTAACACCTATATCTCCCTGTGCACCCTAAGGGACTCCACAGAATGGTGAATTAGATACATATATCCAAAGGAACTACATATATTTGTGTTCCCCCATCCAAACCTCCAATCGTATGTAGTTTAATATTTAAAGTTGCTGAAGTTAGCTGTAGACAAAGGACAAAAATTAGAAGTGCAGAGGGAATGGGTTCCTTCATGTGGGTAAAGGAGAGACTTACAAAACCTGCTTAATGTGGCTTTTTGCAGTCTTTTTGCTGCTCACAGCTGAACCACATGAACTTCTACTGTTTTGGACTCATCCAAACCTCAACATTAGCTTTAAGAGCTCCTTGATTTTCCAGCAGGAGAAAAGTGAACATGCAAAGCTCTCAGGTTCATTGTTATAATCCTCTCAAGGATCAGTCTCATTAGCAGACAGCAGAGTCTTGATCTCTTGCTTCACCAAACTAACCACTTGGCCGAGAGAATTTGCTGTTGGTCCTGGGGGAACTTCTCATATCCCTTGCAAGCTCTTCAAGTATTTGTTCCTTTTCCCCTTTCAGAAAGTTGTGTTTATCTCAGCATGCCATAGTCATCTCCAAAATTAAATAATTGTGACGTATCTAAGATTTTATAGCATTTGTAAACAACATATTAACCTTCCATTTTCATCGATGCTGGTAGAAGGCATGAGACACTGAAGTATGAAAAAAAATACCTACTATTTACTGCTTACCTGGAGGCAAAAGCCTCATATTTGTATTAGTTCTCCTTGTCCATACTACGTTTTTTGAAGGATTTCAAAAGGCTCATATGGACATTGTACATGGGGAAGATTTGTGTCATAGCTGAGCAGACTCAAGACTAAGAAACCTCAATCTTTTTAAAGTAGGTTACATGGAAGCCTGTCCAACCTTTGCGTCACAAAGAAAAATTGTCTTTATTATATTGATTGAGTAATTTATCTGCCATTCACCTGAAGAGAAAAACTACTACCCTTTTTCCAGGTTATTTGTGTACAAAAATCTTTGAAAAATAGCGTGGAACAGGACAGGTATGTGATGTAATCCACAACAAAACAACAAACTCTGAGAGACTTGTGGAGAACTACATCTCAGTAGCATGCATCTTTCCCATTAAATGTTGCACTAAGCAATCCTGTGATAAAAGACAATCCATTGAAGACTTTCGACATGAAGACTAACCTCGGTTGTTTTGTGTTGTGGGATTGTTCAAGTGATTCTCCACTGTCAGCCTCCAAAGTAGCTGGGAATACAGTCTCCCAAGACCACGCTCAGCTTATTTTTGTATTTTTAGTAGAGGCGGGGTTTTACCATATTGGCCAGACAGGTCTCGAACTCCTGATCTCAGGTGGTCCGCCTGCCTTGGCCTCACAAAGTGCTAGGAATATAGGCATGAGCCTCCGTGCCCGGCCCCAGAAATGAAAGTTCTAGTGCGCAGTAATGTAATTCTGACAGATAAATGACAGGTGAGAGTAAGTGAAAAATCTAACACAATTTAACATTTTTACATATTTAGACATATTGAAATTGGTTACCTTATTGGAAAAAGTTAAATGACTAGTAATATATACAGCATATTTATTCTGAATGAATTGCTAATCTAGATTTGAGACATGAAATAATTATTTTTACAACACAGAAACATAAACTGCATTTCCATATACAATTAACAATTTGACAGTAAATTAAGAAAACAATTGTTCGCAACAACATTAAAATAATATAATTCTTAGCAATAAATTTAATAAGGAGGTAAATATCTTGTACAATAAAAAATACAGGATCAGAATGTTTATGAAAAAAACTAAAAAGGACTTAAATAACTGGCAACAAATTCCATGTTCCTGAACCGGAAGATTTAATGAAGTTAAGATGACAATACCACTGCCCAAAGGAGTGTACAGATGTACTGTAATCCCAAGTTTTCATTTTTCCAACTTTTCTTCTGCAAAAAGAAAATAGCTCATTTAAAACTTCATATGGAATTTGAACATCCTCTGAATGTACAGAATAATCTTGAAAAGAAGGACAAAATTAGGTGGCTCACAATTTTAAATTTGAAAACATAAAAAGCTACTATAATTATAACAGTTTGATAGTGGCATAAGAACAATTGTGGAGATCAAATAAATAAAATAGATACTCCAAAAAACCCTTTCATAAATTATTGTTTGTCTTTTTAAAAGTGTGCCTTAATCATTATGTAAAGACAGTTTGTTACACAAGAAATGCTGGGAAAACAAGTCCACATTTAAACCAGTAAAGTTGAATCTTTATCACATTCCAAGTAGAAAAATTAAATAAAAATTGATTAAAGATATAAAAACAAGTGTTAAACTTTAGTGGTTTCTAATAGTTGTTTTTATTTAACTGGGGACAGCACTAACATGAACAACTTTATACACACAAACTAGAAAACTTTAACGAAATAAATAGATTCCTAGATATACACACTCTCTCAAGATTAAGCCAGGAAGACAATGATTTCCTGAACAGACCAGTAAAAAACTCTGATATTAAATAGGTAATAAGTAGCTTGCCAATCAAAAAAAAAAGCTCTGGACTTTATGGACTTACAGCCAAATTCTACCAAATGTACAAAGAAGAGCTGGTACAATTCCTACAGAAACTATACCCAAAAATTGAGAAGGAGGGTCTTCTCCCCAACTCATTCTATGAGGACAGCATGATCTTGACACCAAAACAGGCAGAGACACAACAAAAACACAAAAAATTAGCCGGGCTTGGTAGCAGACACCTGTAGTCCCAGCTACTTGGGAGGCTGAAGCAGGAGAATGGCGTGAACTCAGGAGGCAGAGATTGCATTAAGCAGAGATCGCGCCAGTGCAATCCACTCCAGCCTGGGCAACAGAGGGAGACACCGTCAAAAAAAAAAAAAAAAAAGAAAGAAGGGAAAGAAAACTTCAGGCCAATATTCTTGACGAACATCAATACAAAAGTTCTCAACAAAATATTTGGGAGGCAAATCCAGCAGCACATCAAACAGGTAATCCGTCATGATCAAGTAGGCTTCCTCCTTAGGACGCAAGGTTGGTCCATCATGTGCAAATCAATAAATGTAATACATTACATAAACAGAACTAAAAACAAAAAAAAGATGATTATCTCAATAGACGCAGAAAATAATAAAAGCCGTCTATAAGAAACCCACAGCCAACAATGTGTTGAATGGGCAAAAGCCGGGAACATTATTTTTTAAAACCAGTAGAAGGCAAGAATGCCCTCTCTTGCCATTTCTATTCAACTTAGTATTGACAGTACTGACCAGAGCAATCAGGCTAGAGAAAGAAATCCGAAGAACATCCAAATAGGAAGAGAGAAAGCCAAACTATTTCTGTTTGCAGATAACATAATTCTCTATCTAGAAAACCCTGTAGTTTCATCTACAAAGCTTCTTTAGTTAACAAACAGCTTCAGCAAAGTTTCAAGATACTAAATCAATGTGCAAAGATCACTAACATTTTTCTACACCAACGATAGCCACACTGACAGCAAAATCAGAAAGGCCATCCCATTCACAATTGCCACTAAAATAATAAAATATCTGGAAATGCAGCTCACCAGGGAGGTGAAAGAGCTCTACAATGAGATTTACAAAACACTGCTCAAAGAAATCAGAGAAGATACAAACAAATGGAAAACCATCCCATGCTCACGGATAGGAAGATCCAATATCACTAAAATGGCTATACTTCACAAAGAAATTTACAGATTTAATACTATTTCCATCAAACTGCCAATGAAATTTTTTACGGAGCTAGAAAAAACTATTTGAAAACTCATATAGGCCGGGGGCTGTGGCTCACACCTGTAATCCCAGCACTCTGGGAGGCCAAGGGGTGTGGATCATGAGGTCAGGAGATCCAGACCGTCCTGGCCAACATGGCAAAACTCCTTCTCTACTAAAAATACAAAAAATAGCTGGGAGTAATGGCAGCGCTTGTAATCCCAGCTACTTGGGAGGCTGAGGCAGGAGAATCCCTTGAACATGTATATAATATATACGTATGTTATACATATATTTATTATACTTTAAGTTCTAGGGTACATGTGCACAACGTGCAGGTTTGTTACTTATGTATACATGTGCCATGTTGGTGAGCTGCACCCATTAACTCGTCATTTACATTAGGTATATCTCCAAATGCTATCCCTCCCCCCGCCCCCCCCAACAACATTCCCCAGTGGGTAATGTTACCCTTCCTGTGTCCAAGTGTTCTCATTGTTCAATTCCCACCTATAAGCGAGAACATGTGGTGTTTGTTTTTTTTTGTCCTTGTGATAGTTTGCTGAGAATTATCTTTTCCAGCTTCATTCATGTACACACAAAGGACATGAACTCATCATTTTTTATGGCTGCATAGTATTCCATGGTGTATATGGGCCACATTTGCTTGATCCAGTCTATCATTGTTGGACATTTCGGTTGGTTCCAAGTATTTGCATTGTGAGTAGTGCCACAATAAACATACGTGTGCATGTGCCTTTATAGCAGCACCTAACATGACTTTTCTTATTTTCTTAGATTGTGAGTTTCTTTCAGACTAGGACTCTGCTGAGTCAGCTCTCTGTCCTCCCTGTACTCCTTATCACAGTGCTTGGCTATGACAGATGTTTAATAAATATTTGAGAAACACAGTAAATCCATATGAGTGACACAATGTTACGGAAAACTCTGGTCATTCAACAAATTCTATTCTCCCATTTATTAGGGACACAGCAGAATTACATTTCTTAGCCTCATTTGCATTAGATGTGGAAACGTGACCAGTTATTGTTAATGGTTGTAGAGTGAGATGGATGTGAGTCACATTAAGATGAGTCCATCAAGTCTTCTCGCATGCATTTCTTAAAGTACTTTATTTTCAGGGGACTGAACACAAACGGCAACCACGACTCATGGATGATGAAGACAAATAATGAAAGAACTTTGAGTTTCTGAATGACCACATGGAGAGGAGGTGCCTTTTCAATTTGGCCACCGAACAACTCTGTGATGTGTGCTAAAAAGTGTTGTTAATCTACTGCAAATTAGGGATGTGCTGGTATTTGACAGTTCAGCATAATCTAAAACATGCACTTAAAAACCTATTCACTGAATTAATTTAAAAGGCATTTTTATAGTACACTTAAGATGACAAACGTTAAGGTGGTCTTGCAATTTTTACCCTTCCATTTTGACCGTACTATGTTATATTAGAGAACTTGAGCCACATAAATGATCAGTTTTTATTGCGTCTATTTGATTCTTCTCTCTTTTCTTCTTTACTAGTCTTGCTAGCAGTCTATCAATTTTGTTGATCGTTTCAAAAACCAGCTCCTGAATTCACTGATTTTTTGAAGGGTTTTTTATGTGTCTATTTCTTTCAATTCTGCTCTGATCTTAGTTATTTCTTGCCTTCTGCTAGCTTTTGAATGTGTTTGCTCTTGCTTCTCTAGTTCTTTTAATTGTGATGTTAGGGTGTCAATTTTAGATCTTCTCTGCTTTCTCTTGTGGGCCTTTAGTGCTATAAATTTCCCTCTACACGCTGCTTTGAATGTGTCCCATAGATTCTGGTATGTTGTGTCTTTGTTCTCGTTGCTTTCAAAGAACATCTTTATTTCTGCCTTCGTTTCGTTATGTACCCAGTAGTCATTCGGGAGCAGGTTGTTTGGTTTCCATGTAGTTGAGCGGTTTTGAGTGAGTTTCTTAATCCTGAGTTCTAGTTTTATTGCAGTGTGGTCTGAGAGAGAGGTTTTTATAATTTCTGTTCTTTTACAATTTGCTGAGGAGTGCTTTACTTCCAACTATGTGGTCAATTTTGGAATAAGTGCGGTGCGGTGCTGAGAAGAATGTATATTCTGTTGATTTGGGGTGGAGAGTTCTGTAGATGTCTATTAGGTCTGCTTGGTGCAGAGCTGAGTTCAATTCCTGGATATCCTTGTTAACTATCTGTCTCATTGATATGTCTAATGTTGACAGTGGGTGTTAAAATCTCCCATTACTATTGTGTGGGAGTCTAAGTCTCTTTCTAGGTCTCTAAGGACTTGCTTTATGAATCTGTGTGCTCCTATATTGGGTGCATATATATTCAGGATAATTAGCTCTTCTTATTGCATTGATCCCTTTATCATTACGTAATGGACTTCTTTGTCTCTTTTGATCTTTATTGTTTTAAAGTCTGTTTTATCAGACACTAGGATTGTAACCCCTGCCTTTTTCTGTTTTCCATTTGCTTGGTAGATCTTCCTCCATCCCTTTATTTTGAGCCTATGTGTGTCTCTGCACGTGAGATGCGTTTCCTGAATACAGAACACTGATGGGTCTTGACTCTTTATCCAATTTGCCAGTCTGTGTCTTTTAATGGGAGAATTTAGTCCATTTACTTTTAAGGTTAATATTGTTTTGTGTGCATTTGATCCTGTCATTATGATGTTAGCTGGTTATTTTGCTCATTAGTTGATGCAGTTTCTTCCTAGCCTCGATGGTCTTTACAACTTGGCATGTTTTTGCAGTGGCTGGTACCGGTTGTTCCTTTCCATGTTTAGTGCTTCCTTCAGGAGCTCTTTTAGGGCAGGCCTGGTGGTGACAAAATCTCTCATCGTTTGCTTGTATGTAAAGGATTTTATTTCTCCTTCACTTATGAAGCTTAGTTTGAATGAATATGAAATTCTGGATTGAAAATTCTTTTCTTTAAGAATGTTGAATATTGTCCCCCACTCTTCTGGCTTGTAGAGTTTCTGCCGAGAGATCAGCTGTTAGTCTGATGGGCTTCCCTTTGTGGGTAACCCGACCTTTCTCTCTGGCTGCCCTTAACATTTTTTCCTTCATTTCAACTTTGGTGAATCTGACAATTATGTGTCTTGGAGTTGCTCTTCTTGAGGATTATCTTTTTGGTGTTCTCTGTATTTCCTGAATTTGAATGTCACCCTCCCTTGCTAGATTGGGGAAGTTCTCATGGATAATATCCTTCAGAGTGTTTTCCAACTTGCTTCCATTCTCCTCATAACTTTCAGGTACACCAATCAGATGTAGATTTGGTCTTTTCACACAGTCCCATATTTCTTGGAGGTTTTGTTCATTTCTTTTTATCTTTTTCTCTCTAAACTTCTTTTCTCACTTCATTTCATTCATTTGATCTTCCATCACTGACACCCTTTCTTCCAGTTCATCGAATTGGCTACTGAGGCTTGTGCATTCATCACGTACTTCTCGTACATTGGTTTTCAGCTCCATCAGGTCCTTTACGAACTTCTCTGCATTGGTTATTCTAGTTAGCTATTCATCTAATTTTTTTAAAGGTTTTTCACTTCTTTGCCATGGGTTTGAACTTCCTCCTTTAGCTCGGAGTAGTTTGATCGTCTGAAGCCTTCTTCTCTCAACTCGTCAAAGTCATTCTCTGTCCAGCTTTGTTCCATTGCTGGTGAGGAGCTGTGTTCCTTTGGAGGTGGAGAGATACTCTGATTTTTAGAATTTTCCGTTTTTCTGCTCTGTTTTTTCCCCATCTTTGTAGTTTTCTCTCCTTTGGTCTTTGATGATTGTGATGTACAGATGGGATTTTGTTGTGGATGTACTTTCTGTTTGTTAGTTTTCCTTCTAACAGTCAGAACCCTCAGCTGCAGGTCTGTTGGAGTTTGCTGGAGGTCCACTCCAGACCCTGTTTGCCTGGGTATCAGCAGTGGAGGCTGCAGAACAGCGGATATTGGTGAAAAGCAAATATTGCTGCCTGATTGTTCCTCTGGAAATTTTGTCTCAGAGGAGTACCCGGCCGTGTGAGGTGTCAGTCTGCCCCTACTGGGGATGCTTCCCAGATAGGCTACTCGGGGGTCAGGGACCCACTTGAGGAGGCAGTCTGTCTGTTCTCAGATCTCCAGCTGCATGCTGGGATAACCACTACTCTCTTCAAAGCTGTCAGACAGGGACATTTAAGTCTGCAGAGGATTCTGCTGCCATTTGTTTGGCTATTCCCTGCCCCCAGAGGTGGAGTCTACAGAGTCAGGCAGGCCTCCTTGAGATGCAGTTGGCTCCACCCAGTTGGAGCTTCCTGGCTGCTTTGTTTACCTACTCAAGCCACGGCAATGGTGGGCGCCCCTCCCCCAGGCTTGTTGTTGCCTTGCAGTTTGATCTCAGACTGCTGTGCTAGCAATGATTGTGGCTCTGTGGGCGTAGGACCCTCTGAGCCAGGTGCAGGATATAATCTCCTGGTATGCCGTTTGCTAAGACCTTTGGAACAGTACAGTGTTAGGGTGGGAGTCACCCGATTTTCCAGGTGCAATCTGTCACCCCTTTCTTTGACTAGGAAAGGGTATTCCCTGACCCCTTGCACTTCCTGGGTGAGGCGATGCCTCACCATGCTTTGGCTCACATGGGGTGCGCTGCACCCACTGTCCTGCACCCACTTTCTGACACTCCCCAGTGAGATGAGCCCGGTACCTCAGTTGGAAATGCAGAAATGACCTGTGTTCTGCATTGCCGATGCTGGGAGTTCTAGACTAAGGCTTTTCCTATTCGCCCATCTTGGCTCCACCCCCTCTCTAATTAAATTTTAATGTGAATAGTCTGAAATTATTTTTTCTATATCCTTCAGTTTTTTCATAATTCTTCTCTAACTTTTAGGTTCTATGTTTATGCCCCTTATATTTTCCAGAAATGTTTCTGAAGATTATTGCCCATTTTAAAGTTAAACTAATTTTTTATTTAGTTTTTTGTTTATTCTGTATTCTGCTTATCAATCGCTTGTCAGCTGTGTAGTTTGCACATATTTCCTCTCATTTTCTTTCTTTTTTTTTGAGACAGTCTTGCTCTGTCACCCATGCTGGAGTGCAGTGGCACGATCTCAGCTCACTGTAACCTCCACCTCCTGGGTTCAAGAGATTCCCTGGCCTCAGCCTCCTGAGCAATTGGGCTTTCAGGAACCACGCCCGGCTAATTTTTGTATTTTTAGTAGACACAGTGTTTCACCATGTCAGCCAGGCTGGTCTAGAACTCCTGACCTCAGGTGATCCACCAGCCTCAGCCTCCCAAAATACTGAGTTTATAGGTGTGAGCCATCGTCCCTGGCCAATAGAATATTATTTATACAATGGAGTATTAGCTAGCCATAAAAATAAATACAGAACTGATATGTGCCACAACATGGATAAATAATGAAAACACGCTCAAAGAGAAAAGCCAAAGAAAAAAGGTCACATATTATATTATTATATTTCTATAAAGTGACTAGAATAGAAAACTAGAAATAGAAGCCGGGTGTGATGGCTCACGCCTGTAATCCCAGCACTTTGGGTGGCCGAAGCAGGCAGATCACGACGTCAGGAGATCGAGACCATGCTGGCTAACATGGTGAAACCCCGTCTCTACTAAAAATACAAAGAAAAATAGCTGGGCGTGCTGACAGGCATCTGTAGTCCCAGCTACCCTGGAGGCTGAGGCAGGAGAATGGCGTGAACCAGGGAGGTGGAGCTTGCAGCGAGCCGAGATCGTGCCACTGCACTCTAGCATGGGTGACAGAGTGAGACACCAAAAAAAAAAAAAAAAAAAGGAAAGAAAGAAAGAGAGTACTAGAGATAGAAAGTCAATCAGTGGTTACCAAGGAAATTCGGTGGATGAATGATAAATTACTGCTTAATGGATATGGAGTTTTTTTTGTGAAAGGGTGATGAAACTATTTTGGAATTTGATAGGGGTGACAGTTGCATAGCATTGTAAATAAACTGAAAAGCACTGAATTTTACACTTTATATTAGATAGTATGTAGAACTCTATATTGTCTAAATTTTAGCTGACTAAAACATTTTAACAAGCAAAGAAAAATAAACTGTAGGCTTTGTGTGGTGGCTCACACCTATAATCTCAGTTTTTTTCAGAGGCTGATGCAAGCAGATCACGAGGTGAAGAGATCGAGACCATCCTGGACAACATGGCGAAACCCCGTCTCTACTAATAATACAAAAATTAGCCAGGCTTGGTGGCACGCCCTTATAGTCCCAGCTACTCAGGAGGCTGAGGCAGGAGAATCACTTGAACCTGGGAGGTGGAGGTTGCAGTGAATCACTTGAACCCGGGAGGTGGAGGTTGCAGTGAGCCGAGATCATGCCACTCCACTCCAGTCCCGTGAAAGAGCGAGAAGAGAGAGACTCTGATAAAGAAAGAAAGAAAGAAAGAAAGAAAGAAAGAAGAAAGAAAGAAAGAAAGAAGAAAGAAAAAAGAAAATAAGGAAAGAAAGAAAAGAAAGGGAGGGAGGAAGGAAGGAGAAAGAAAGAGAAAGAAAGAAAGAAAGAAAGAAAGAAAAGGAAGGAAGGAATGAAGGAAGAGGAAAGAAAGAAAGAAGAAAGAAAGAAACGGAAGGAAGGAATGAAGGAAGAACAAAAGAAAGAGAAAGAAGAAAGAAAGGAAGAAAGAAAAGAAAGGAAGGAGAAAGAAAGAAAGAGAAAGAAAAAGAAGGAAAGAAAGAAAGAAGAAAGAAAGAAAAAGAAAGAAGAAAGAAAGAAAGAAGAAAGAAAGAAAGAAAGAAAGAAAGAAAGAAAGAAAGAAAGAAAGAAAGAAAGACAGAAAAAAGAAATACTATGAAACAGGAGGGCAAATGAGGGAGCCCTGGAAAACGATTCTGTCTCCACTTTCAAAAAAGATCGCCCCCTCCAAAAAAAAGATCCCCAAAGCTCTGACCGAGAAGGTCTTCTCCTTGGATCCCAGAGCAGTGGTCTGAGGATCTGTCACATTCTACACCAGCCTGAGTGCTCAGTCCCGCACACCCCTAGGCCACTTTCTGCTCTGAAAGACCTTCGGAGGACACAGAGCAATTTCCAAAGTTCTGAGAGTACAGTGGTAATTGATAGACAGCAAGGTCAACTCACTTCTTTAAGCCTTTCAAATTTAAGGGTCACACAGTTCAATTATGTCAATTTTTACAGGGAAAAATTGAAGGTTTTCACTACTGTATTCCTCTCCATATTGGGTGTAGGGGGATTCCTTACCATTTTAATTATGCAGATTAATGAATGGAGAAAGTAAGGTTTTGTCCTTGGAAAGCTATCCTGGTGTTGGCTGCAGCCCAGTCAGATCCATGGAAGCCTTGAGCCTCTCAAGCCATCAGCCTATTGCCTTCCCCTGCCCATGTTATGGGTCCTGGGCATGTTACCAGAAGATGGGGTGCTTCTACCCCATGACAAAGCTGCCCCTATCCTCTATCTTTTTTCTTCTCATCACTCCATCAGCGTTAACTCCTCTTATGACCTTTAGCCTGAGAAGTCTGTGTGTGTATGCACAAACCTGTGGAAGTCTAATGATGCAGACATGAGTTTGCTTCATATGACGAGAAAATTGGCAAAAATCCCCAGGATCTCAGGGACTCATTCCCAAAACAAACCCCATGAGAGTGTTGAGCCCTGGCCTAGGAGGTCAGAATGCTCTTTTTTCCCTTGGACTCTGCCCACTTCATCATCTCTGGGCCAGTCCCTGCTTCTCTCCAGACCTCAGTTTTTCAGATATCCAATGAGATGTGAGATGTCAAAATGCTTAAGCCACAGCTCAACATGCATATGGTCTAACGTCCCTACCAACTAGGATTGGTGTAGCAAGGCTGTGATCAGGGTGTTCCCAGATCTTCCTCACTTGGGAAGAAATAGATGGGTTCTGCACTGGGCACATGGACCTTCTGTTCAAGAAGGGTCATACACACTTGATCTTTCAAGGCCCACAGACAATGTGTGCAAGTGAGCCCCACCTCCACCCCTCAACAGCTTCCCATGGAGCATAACAATATGTCCCCTGTCCTCTGAGTCTGGAAAGTAGTGACATCCTCACTTAACACATGGATTGATGGACCCTTTGTATAATTAAATCTTCCCCACTACTGCCTCCACCACTACGCAGATAGAAAAAAGTCTTAGGAAAGTGACATAACATCCAGAATTACACAGAGATTCCATGGCAAAGCTAGCACTTTAGTTAGGATTACATTTTCCTACATATAGAAGAAAACCCAGACCGGGTGCTGTAGTTCACGCCTGTTATCCCAACACATTGGGAGGTTGAGGCAGACGGATCACCAGAGGTCTGGAGTTTAAGACCAGCCTGACCAACATAGAGAAACCCAGTCTCTACCAAAAATACAAAATTTTCCAGGCGTAGTGGTGCATGCCTGTAATCCCTGCTTCTTGAGAGGCTGAGGCAGGAGAATCGCTTGAACCCGGGAGGTAGAGATTGTGGTGAACCGAGATCGCGCCATTGCACTCCAGTCTGGGCAATAAGAGTGAAACTCCGTCTCAAAAAAATTAAAAAAGAAAACCCAATATAATAGTGCAGATAAGAGAGAGAATGCTTTCTTTCTCATAAATAAGGATGTTAGAGCTGGGCAGTCTGACTCTGAACTGTACACGAAGGTAGTCAAAAATAGTCTGTCATTTTGCTAAAATGTTTTTCTTTTTTGAACTTTGTTTTAAGTTCAGGGGTATATGGGCAGGATGTGCAGGTTCTTTAAATATGGAAACATACCGTCCCGAAGTTTGGTTGTGCAGATTGTTTTATCACCCAGGTATTAAGTCTACTAACTATTAGTTATTTTTTCTGATTCTCTCCCTCCTCTCACCCCCTACCTCCTGATAGGCCCTGGTGCGTGTTGCTCCCCTCCATGTTTCTGTGTGTTCTCATCATCTACCCTCCACTTATAAGTGAGAAAATGTGGTATTTGGTTTTCTGTTTCTGTTAGTTTTTTAAGGATAATGGCCTCCAGCTCCATCCATGTCCCTACAAAGGACATAATCTTGTGCTTTTTTATGGCTGCATAGTACTCCATGTTGTATATGAACTACGTTTTCTTCAACCAGTCTATTATTGATGAACATGTAGGCTGATTTGATGTCTTTGCTATTGTGAATAGGGCTGTGATGAACTTGTGCGTGCAGGTATCTTTATAATAGAATGACTTATATTTGTTTGGGTATATACCCAGTAATGAGATTGCTAGGTCAAATGGTATTCTTTTCTTTAGGTCTTTGAAGAATCACCACACTGTCTTCCACAACGTTTGAACTCGACCAACAGGGTAAAAATGTTGCTTTTTCTCCACAACTTTGTCAGCATCTGTGATTTTTTGATTTTTTCATGGTAACCATTATACCTGGTATAAAATGATATCTCATTGTGGTTTGGATTTACATTTCTCTAACGGTCACTGATGTTGAACTTCTGTTTCATACGCTTATTGGCTGCATGTATGTCTTCTTTCAAGAAGTGTTTCTGTGTGTCCTTTGGCCAATTTTTAATAAGGTTGTTTGTTTTTCTCGTGTAAATTTATGTTCCTTATGGATGCTAGAAATTAGATTATTGTCAGATGCACAGTTTGCAAAAATTTTCTCCCATTCTATACATTGTCTGTTTACTCTGTTGATAGTTTCTTTTGCTGTGCAAAAGCTCTTTAGTTTAATTAGATCCCATTTGTCAATGTTCTCTTTGTTCTAATTGCTTTTGCGCCTTCATCATAAAATATTTGCCCATGCCTATGTCCTGAATGGTATTGCCTAGGTTGTCTTCCAAAGTTTTTATAGTCTTGGGTTTTACATTTAAACCATGTTGAGTTTATTGTTGTATATGATGTAAGGAATCTTTCTTTATTTTTTAAATTTAAATTGGGTTCTGAAGTACAAGTGCAGAATGTGTAGGTTTGTTACATTGGTATATGTGTGCCATGGTGGTTTACTGCACCTATCAGCCCGTTATCCAGGCTTCAAGTCCCACATGTATTAGCTAGTTATCCTAATGCTCTCCCTCCCTTCGACTCCCATTCCCTGACTAGCCCCAGTTGTGTTGTTTCCCTTCCAGTGTCCATGTGTTCTTATTGTTCAACTCCCACTTATGAGTGAGAATATGCGGTGGTTAGTTTTCTGTTCCTGTGTTAGTTGCAGAGGATGATGGAGGAAGGGGTTCAGTTTCAATTTTTTGCACATGGCTAGGCAGTTATCCCAGCACCATTTATTGAGTACAGAGTCGTTTTTTCATTGCTTGTTTTTGTCAGGTTTGTCGAAGATCAGTTAGTTGTAGGTGTGCAGTCTTATTTCTGGGTCCTCTATTCTGTTTCATTGGTCTGTGTGTCTGTTCTTGTACCAGTACCATGCTGTTTTGGTTTCTGTAGCCCTGTAGCACAGTTTGAAGTTGGGTAGTGTGATGCCTCCAGCTTAGTTCTTTTTGTTTGGGGTTGTCTTGACTATTCAGGCCTTTGTTGGTTCCATATAAATTTTAAAATAGCTTTTCTAGTTTTGTGAAAAATGTCATTGGTAGTTTAACGGAAATACTATTAACTCTATAAATTTCTTTGTGGAGTGTGTCTACTTTAACAATATTAACTCTTTCTATCCATAAGCATGAAATGTTTTTCTATTTGTTTATGTCATGTCTGATTTCTTTGAGAAGTGGTTTATAGTTCTCCTTGTAGTGGCCTTTCACTTCTCTTGTTAGATACATTCCTTGGTATTTTATTCTTTTTGTGGTAACTGTGAATGAGTGTTCATTCACGATTTTGCTCTTGGCTTGACTGTTGTTGGTATATAAGGATTTAGTGCTAGTGATTTTTGCCCATTTATTTTGTATCTTGGGACTTTGTTAAAGATATTTATCAGCTTAAGAAGCTTTGGGGTTGAGACAATAGGGGTTTTCAAGATATAGAATCATGTCGTCTGACATCAGGTGTTGTTTAATTTCTTTTCTTTCAATTTGAATGCCTTTTTCTCTTACCTGATTGCTCTGCCCAGTACTTCCAATACTATCTGAAATAGGATTCATGAGAGAGGGCATCCTTGTCTTGTGCCCGTTTTAAAAGGGAATGCTTTCAGCTTTTGCCCTTTCAGTATGATATTGGCTGTGGGTTTGTCATACATGGTTCTTATTATATTGAAGTATGTTTTTTTCAATACCTAGTTTATTGAGAGTTTTTACAAGAATGGATGTTGAATTTTATGGATGCAAAGATTTATCTGCATCTATTCAGACAATCATGTGGCTTTTGTCTTTAGTTCTGTTTATGTGATAAATCACATATTGATTTGTGTACGTTGAATTAAAGTTGCATCCCACAGATGGAGCCTACTTGATTGTGGTGGATAAGCTTTCTGATGCGCTGCTGGATTTGGTTTGCCCCTATTTTGTTAAGAATGTTTGCATAAATGTTCATCAAAAATATTGGCATGAAGTTTTTTTTTTTCTTTTTTTATTTTATTATTATTATACTTTAAGTTTTAGGGTACATGTGCACAATGTGCAGGTTAGTTACATATGTACGCATGCACCATGCTTGTGTGCTGCACCCATTAACTCGACATTTAGCATTAGGTATATCTCCCAATGCTATCCTTCTCCCCTCCCCCCTCATCACAACAGTCCCCAGAGTGTGATGTTCCCCTTCCTGTGTCCATGTGATCTCATTGTTCAATTCCCACCTATGAGTGAGAACATGCGGTGTTTGGTTTTTTTGTTCTTGTGATAGTTTACTGAGAATGATGATTTCCAATTTAATCCGTGTCCCTACAAAGGACATGAACTCATCATTTTTTATGGCTGCATAGTATTCCACGGTGTATATGTGCCACATTTTCTTAATCCAGTCTATCATTGTTGGACATTTGGGTTGGTTCCAAGTCTTTGCTATTGTGAATAGTGCCGCAATAAACAAACGTGTGCCTGTGTCTTTAAAGCAGCATGATTTATAGTCCTTTGTGTATATACCCAGAAATGGGATGGCTGGGTCAAATGGTATTTCTAGTTCTAGATCCCTGACGAATTGCCACACTGACTTCCACAATGGTTGAACTAGTTTACAGTCCCACCAACAGTGTAAAAGTGTTCCTATTTCTCCACATCTCCTCCAGCACCTGTTGTTTCCTGACTTTTTAATGATTGCCATTCTAACTGGTGTGAGATGGTATCTCATTGTGGTTTTGATTTGCATTTCTCTGATGGCCAGTGATGGTGAGCATTTTTTCATGTGTTTTTTGGGTGCATAAATGTCTTCTTTTGAGAAGCGTCTGTTCATGTCCTTCGCCCACTTTTTGATGGGGTTGTTTTCTTCTTGCAAATTTTTTGAAGTTTTGTTTTTTTTCTTGTGTGTCTGCCAGGTTTTGGTACCAGGATGATGTGCTCTCATAGAAAGAGTCGGGAAGGAAGCCCTCTGTTTCAGTTTTTTGAAATAATTTTAGTGGGAATTGTACCAGTTCTTCTTCATAAATGTCATAACCTTCAGCTTTTAATCTTTGTGTTTCTGATCTTTTTGTGGTTTGTAGGCTATTTATTACTGCCTGAATTTCAGAGCCTGTTGTTTGTCTTTTCAGGGATTCAATTTCTTCCTGGTTTATTCTTGAAGGGTGTATGTGTCCAGAAATTTATCCATTTCTACTGAATTTGTTATCTTATAGGCATAGAGGTGTTTATGATATTTTCTGATGGTTATTTTTATTTCTGTGGGGTCAGTGGTAACCCTTATTATTTCTGATTGTGTTCATTTTAATTTTTGATATTTTCTTCCTTATTAGTCTACTACTGGTGTATTTATATTATTGGTTTTTTCAAAGAAAAAGAAACAGCTCCTGAATTTGTTGATCTGTTGAATGGTTTCTCTTGTCCCTATCTCCATCAGTTCAGGTCTGATTTTGGTTATTTCTTGTCTTCTGCTAGCTCTAGAACTTCTTTGCTCTTGTTCCTGTAGTTATTTTTGTTGTGAAGTTGTAACTTGAGACATTTCTGGCATTTTAATGTGGGCATTTAATGCCATAAATTTTCATCTTAATACTGCCTTAGCTGTGTCCCAGAGATTCTGGTATGTTTTGTCTTTGTTCTCATTGGTTTCAAAGAACTCCTTGATATCTGCCTTAATTTCATTATTTACCCAAAAGTTATTCAGGAGCAGGTGATTCAATTTCCATTTAATTTTATGGTTTTCAGTAAATTATTTCATCGTGAGTTTTAATTTGATTGTGCTGTGATCTGAGCCACTGTTTATTATGATTTCAGTTCTTTTGCATTTGCTGAAGAGTGTTTTACTTCTGGCTAAGTGACCAATTTCAGAGAAAGTGTCATGTAGTGATGAGAAGAATGTATATTCTGCTGTTTTCATGTGGAGAGTTCTGTAAATATATATCATGTCCATTTGATCCAGAGCTAAGTTCAGGTCCTGAACATCTTTGTTAATTTTCTGTCTCAATAATCTTTCTAATACTGTCAGTGGGATGTTAAAGTCGGTCACTATTATTGTGTGGTGTTCTAAGTCTCTTTCAAGATATCTAGAAACTTGTTATATGAATCTGGGTACTCTTGTGTTGGGTGCATATATATTTAGAATAGTTAATTCTTGTTGAATTGAATTATTTGCCGTTATGTAATGACCCTCTTTGTTGTTGTTGTTGTTGTTGTTTTTAATCTGTGTTGCTTTAAAGTCTGTTTTGTTGGAAAGTAAGACTGCAACCCTTGCTTTTTTAGGTTTTCCACTTGCTTGGTGAAATTTCCTCCATCCCTTTATTTTTAGCCTATGTGTGTCCCCGCATGTGAGATGGGTGTCTTGAAGAGCATACCAATGGGTCTTGGTTTTTATACAATTGCCACCCTGTGTGTTTCAACTGGGGCATTTATCCCATTTACATTTAAGGTAAGTATTGTTATGCGTAGATTTTATCTTGTTATCTTGATGCTAGCTGGTTATTTTTATTTTTCAGACTTGTTTATGTGGTTGATTTATAGTGTCAATGGTCTGTGTACTTGAGTGTGTTTTTGTGGTGGCTGGGAATAATTTTCCCTTTCCAAATTGGTGCTTCCTTCAGGAGCTCTTGAAAAGCATGTCTGGTGTTCATGAATTAACTCGGAATTTGCTTGTCTGAAAGGGATGTTATTTCTCCCCAGATTAAGCTTAGTTTGGCCAGATATAAAATTCTGGCTTAAAGTTTATTTTCTTTAAGAACGTTAAATATTGGCCCCCAATCTCTTTTGGCTTGTAGGGTTCTCACTGACAGCTCTGCTCTTAGTCTGATCAACTTCTTTTTGTAGGTGACTTGGCTTTTCTCTGCGGCTGAGCTTTTTTTTCTTTTTTTTTCTTCCATTTCAAGTTTGGGGAATCTGACGTTTATGTGTCTTGGGTATGATTTTTTCTTGGAGTATCTTACTGAACTTCTCTCCATTTTCTGAATTGTTGGCCAGTGTAGCAAGGTTGGGGAAGTTCTCATTGATGATATCCTGAAATATGTTTTCCTGATTGGTTCCATTCTCCCCAGCTCTTTCAAGTACACCAATCAGTTGTAGATTTGGTCTCTTTACATAATCCCATATTTCTCAAAGGTTTTGTTTATTCCTTTCATTCTTTTTTTCTATTCTTCTCTGCATGTCTTCTTTCAGAAATACAAACTTCAAGCTCTGAGTTTCTTTCCTCATTAATACTTGTGATTGCATTATGAAATTTTTGTATTGTGTTTTACAGTGCTATCGGGTTGGTTAGGCTCCTCTCTATCCTGGCTAATTTGTTTGTCAGCTCCTGCAATATTATATTGTAATTTTTAGCTTTCTTGTATTGAGTTAGAGCATGCTCCTTTAGATCAGTGAAGTTCATTTTTATCCACATTCTGGGGTCTACTTCTGTTATTTCAGGGATCACAGCCTCACCCTTATTCTGAACTCTTGCTGGAGAAGTAGTGTGGTCGTTTGGGAGAGGGAGAGCACCCTGATTTTTGAGTTTTTAGTATTCTTGTTGTGATTCTCACCTTTGTGTGCCTATCTATCTTTAATATTTGAGGTTGCTGGCCTTTGAATGAGATTTTTGTTTGTTTCTCTTCCTTTTAACTGTTTGGCCATTTTGTGTGGGGCTGCTGTAGTTTGTTGGGCATCTGCTCCACTCTCTTGTCACCTCGGATTTTCCAGTATCTGGGGGTATCACCAGTGAAGGCTGTGAAACAAGAAAGATAGCAGCCCACTCCCTTCCCTGGGAGCTCCATCCCAGGGCGGGTGCAGACATGTTGAGGGCTCGAACACACCTGTAGGAGGTGACTGGAAACCCCAGTTGGTAGGTCTCACCCAGCTAGGAGGAATAGGATTGGGGACCCACTTAAGCCATCTAGCCCCACTTTCATAGATCAGCCATGCTGTGCGGGGTACCATTTCTGCCCTTCATCAGATTGGGCTCTCCAAAGCCTGGAGGCTGAAACAGCAAAGATGGTGGCCAACCCCTCTCTCTAGGAACTCTGGCCCAGGAAGTTTTTAAACCTCTGCCAGCCAGACAACATCAGTGGGAGTTGCTGGAGGCCCTAGTTGGGAAGTTCCACCCAGAGATGCAGAGCATATTAGGTCCCACTTAAAGAAGCAATCTGATCACATTATGGCAGATCCACTGTGCTATGCTGGGGGATTCCTTCTTCCCTGGGATGGTTTGGACTCTCCTAAGCCCACTGATTGTTATGGCTGAGTTCTCCAAACAACAAATATGAAGACCCACTGCTCCCAATGTGCACTGCATCCAGGAATAAATCAAAACTCTGCCTGCCGGAGAATATGGAAGGGGCTGTCTGGAGGCTCTGGTAGGAGGCCCCACTCTGAGATGAAAAAGGTATCTGGGTCCCACTTCAAGAAGTAGTCCGGCCAAACTTTGGGAGGGCCAATGTGCCGTGCTAAGGGATTTCTTCCATCTGCCATGAGTTTTTTTTTTTTTAACTCTCCTAAACCTCCAGGCTGGAATGGCTGAGTCATCCAAACAGCAAATATAGCAGCCAGCCCCTGCCTCCAGGAACGTTGTTCCATCCCAGGTAATTGCAATGCTGTTGCTGGGGGCTGGATGGAATTCCAAGCCAGTAGGTCTTATCCTGTGAGGCGTCATGGAAGTGGGGCCCACTGATGCTGCTCAGGCCCATGGATTCAGCTTCCTTTCTAGGGGCATTTACGGAGATCCAACCTCCCACCTTGTCTGAGTTGCAGTCACCTTTGCCAGAGATCTCAGAGCCAAAGTATGTAAAGCTCCTGCGATTCTGTTTGTGTCTGAGCAGTTGTTCTGCCGGGAACACGCAGCTCTGTGTATCAGACCAAAGGCCCTGGTGGAATAAGTTTACGAGAAAATCTCCTGACCCGAGAGTTGCAAAGATCCATGGGAGAAGTGTGGTTTCTCAGGGTCACGTATTTGCTCACCACTTCCTTGGGCAGGGTAGGTTCCCTTTGGTCTGTGTTACTCCCGGGTGGGCGTTTGCCATGCCCTTCTTTTTCCCATGGGTTGAGCTGTTTCCTTCATTAGTCCCACTGCAAATATCTGGGTGTTTCAGTTGATGGTGCTGTATTTATTTTCCCTCTTTGTTTCTTTTCATGAAAGCCACACACCATAGCTACTTCTAGTCAGCCCTCTTGGCACACTTTGCTACAATATTTCAGTAGATGGTTTTTATCCTGTAGGCTGTCTCATGGTCCCATATGGCTGGCTGTAGGAGCATAAGCCTGCACCAGCAACCATGTCCATTTCAAAGGCTAAGAAGTAGGAAAGATGCAAGGTCAAAGTGGCTTGCACAGCTGCATCAGCTCCATCTGAGGAATCTCCCTGAAGTCCCATCAATACTTATGGTTACAACCAATTGTCTTGAATAGGGGTCAGAAACTATAACCTTTGTGTTTGTAAGTTGCTGTTTGAATAAAACTAAATTTCTAATTTTGTGTTTTGTTTTGTTTTGTTTTGTTTTGTTTTGTTTGATGGAGTCTCACTCTGTCACCAGGCTGGAGTGCAGTGGTGTGATTTTGGCTCACTGCAACCTCTGACCCTTGGGTTCAAGTGATTCTCCTGCCTCAGCCTTTCAAGTAGCTGGGATTACAGGTGTGCTTGCATCACCATGCCCAAAATGCTGGGATTACAGGCATGAACCACCACACCCAGCCCTGACTCTCTGTTTTTAAGAGTGAAAGCAAAATTAAAACTGTGGCAATGACAAGTGCTCTTTTTCTACACTAAATTCAAAGGTAAACAGAAGAAGATGGAGGTTTTCTCAGGTGAAGTGGGCACTCATTTTTCAAACAAAGCCTTTTTTGGTGATTATTTATTTACAGATCAGATGGGAAAAAAATCTGGGTTCTTGTAAGCACTCCCTTTATGACCAAATGTTAGTCAAGCTTAACTGAACCCTCTTTTTGACTAAGCCAACCTTGACTTCTTGCCCTGCTCCTGGTTTGAGAGGCTCACTTTCATAAATCCTGCTAATACTGTTTAGTAAAAATCCACATATCCCTTATGTCTACTAATATCGTGATTCCCTTTCTTTGATATTTAAGTCCTTAGCCAACCTGTAACCAGGCTTCTGCTATAAAAAGTTCCTCTTCCTCCTTTGGTATTTTATCAAATGTTTTTCAATAATTCTTATCCACTGATTTATTCTGCTTATTGACTATAAATTCTTCGTTGTCTGTGTTCAGAGTTATGATCAATTTCTGAACTGAACCCTATTACGATGGCCATAAAATCTACTACAATAGTATTAATGTCTTTCTTCCCAATTTTTAACAAACATCAGAAATTTTTATTTCACAGTTTCCCAACAGTATGTTTGAGTATAAAAACAGTTTTCAGTTTGCCCCCAAAAATGATGTGATCCACTGTGTAGATGTGTATGCCTGATCCTTGTGTCCAAAAAAGTATGTTTTTATTTAAATGGGGTGAGGGTGACAGATTATAGAGCCAATGTTTTCCTAAAATGCTGAGTCATAATTGAAACCATACAAATCAAGAATATAGAATGCTTGGACTCCAACATTTTTAACCCTGAGGATATTTTGATGTCCATAATTTATATTACTGTGAAAATAATGCACAAGAAAGAAAACTGATAGCTCTCCCTCTCCCTCTCCCTCTCCCTCTCCGTCTCCCCACGGTCTCTCTCTCCCTCTCTTTCCACGGTCTCCCTCTGATGCCGAGCCGAAGCTGGATGGTACTGCTGCCATCTCGGCTCACTGCAACCTCCCTGCCTGATTCTCCTGCCTCAGCCTGCCGAGTGCCTGCGATTGCAGGCGCGCGCCGCCACGCCTGACTGGTTTTCGTATTTTTTTGGTGGAGACGGGGTTTCGCTGTGTTGGCCGGGCTGAGCTCCTAACCGCGAGTGATCCGCCAGCCTCGGCCTCCCGAGGTGCCGGGATTGCAGACGGAGACTCGTTCACTCAGTGCTCAATGGTGCCCAGGCTGGAGTGCAGTGGCGTGATCTCGGCTCGCTACAACCTCCACCTCCCAGCAGCCTGCCTTGGCCTCCCAAAGTGCCGAGATTGCAGCCTCTGCCCGCCTGCCACCCCGTCTGGGAAGTGAGGAGCGTCTCCACCTGGCCGCCCATCGTCTGGGATGTGAGGAGCCCCTCTGCCTGGCTGCCCAGTCTGGAAAGTGAGGAGCGTCTCTGCCCGGCCGCCATCCCATCTAGGAAGTGAGGAGCGCCTCTTCCCGGCCGCCATCACATCTGGGAAGTGAGGAGCGTCTCTGCCCGGCCGCCCATCATCTGAGATGTGGGGAGCACCTCTGCCCTGCCGCCCCGTCCGGGATGTGAGGAATGTCTCTGCCCGGCCGCCCCGTCTGAGAAGTGAGGAGACCCTCTGCCTGGCAACCACCCCGTCTGAGAAGTGAGGAGCCCCTCCGCCCGGCAGTCACCCCGTCTCGGAAGTGAGGAGCATCTCCGCCTGGCAGCCACCTCGTTCGGGAGTGAGGTGGGGGGGTCAGCCCCCTGCCTGGCCAGCCACCCCATGCGGGAGGGAGGTGGGGGGTCAGCCGCCCGCCCGGCCAGCCGCCTCCTCCGGGAGGGAGGTGGGTGGGTTAGCCCCCCGCCTGGCCAGCCGCCCCATCCGGGAAGTGAGGGGCGCCTCTGCCCGGCAGCCCCTGATGGGAAGTGAGGAGCCCCTCTGCCCGGCCAGCCGCCCCGTCTGGGAGGGAGGTGGGGGATCAGCCCCCCGCCCGACCAGCCACCCCTTCTGGGGGGGAGGGAGGTGGGCGGGTCAGCCCCCCGCCCTGCCAGCCGCCCCGTCCGGGAGGTGAGGGGCGACTCTGCCCGGCCGCCCCTACTGGGAACTGAGGAGCCCCTCTGCCCGGCCAGCCACCCCATCCGGGAGGGAAGTTGGGGGGTCAGCCCCTCGCCCGGCCAGCCGCCCTGTCCAGGAGGGAGGTGGGGGGGTCAGCCCCCCGCCTGGCCAGCCGCCCCGTCCGGGAGGTGAAGGGCGCCTCTGCCCAGCCGCCCCTACTGAGAAGTGAGGAGCCCCTCTGCCCTGCCACCACCCCGTCTGGGAGGTGTACCCAACAGCTCATTGAGAATGGGCCATGATGACAATGGCGGTTTTGTGGAATAGAAAGGGGGGAAAGGTGGGGAAAAGATTGAGAAATCGGATGGTTGCCGTGTCTGTGTAGAAAGAGGTAGACATGGGAGACTTTTCATTTTGTTCTGTACTAAGAAAAATTCTTCTGCCTTGGGATCCTGTTGATCTGTGACCTTACCCCCAACCCTGTGCTCTCTGAAACATGGGCTGTATCCACTCAGGGTTGAATGGATTAAGGGCGGTGCAAGATGTGCTTTGTTAAACAGATGCTTGAAGGCAGCATGCTCCTTAAGAGTCATCACCACTCCCTAATCTCAAGTACCCAGGGACACAAACACTGCGGAAGGCCACAGGGTCCTCTGCCTAGGAAAACCAGAGACCTTTGTTCACTTGTTTATCTGCTGACCTTCCCTCCACTATTGTCCTGTGACCCTGCCAAATCCCCCTCTGCGAGAAACACCCAAGAATGATCAATTAAAAAAAAAAAAGAAAACTGATAATGCTTAAAATTAAACATGGTGCAACGTATCACTGACTAAAAACTGATATAAGAAAACATTATTCCCAAAAACATTTGGGTATCCACCACTTAACCCAGGAAAGTAGACCGTGTAGAAATAATGGTCCCTACAGACAATTTGTAGAAGCAGAATCTATAAATTATGATGTGAAAAATTCAGGTAATTTTTGTTTAAATATAGTGATCCTGATAAAAATTCAATTGAATTAAAAATTAGAGAAGATTAACTTGAATTAGTTATGTTTTTATAAAATATAAATTATGAAGTTAAAACGTAATATATAAGTATGCTCTGGAAAACACATTCTCAAATGAATAAAATTTCTTTTTATTGGATTAGTTGAATGTTTGATGTTATCTGTTTATTAAACCCAAGGGGATATCACCACCGATCCCACAGAAATACAAACTACCATCAGAGAATACTATAAACACCTCTATGCAAATAAACTAGAAAATCTAGAAGAAATGGATAAATTCCTCGACACATACACCCACCCAAGACTAAACCAGGAAGAATTTGAATCTCTGAATAGACCAATAACAGGCTCTGAAATTGAGGCAATAATTAATAATTAGCTTTCCAACCAGAAAAAGTCCAGGACCAGATGGATTCACAGCCAAAATCTACCAGAGGTACAAGGAGGAGCTGGTACCATTCCTTCTGAAACTATTCCAATCAATAGAAAAAGAGGGAACCTCCCTAACTCATTTTATGAGGACAGCATCATCCTGATACCAAAGCCTGGCAGAGACACAACAAAAAAAGAGAATTTTAGACCAATATCTCCGATGAAGATCTATGCAAAAATCCTCAATAAAATACTGGCAAACCGAATCCAGCAGCATATCAAAAAGCTTATCCACCATGATCAAGTGGGCTTCATCTCTGGGATGCAAGGCTGGTTCAACATACACAAATCAACAAACGTAATCCACCTTATAAACAGAACCAATGACAAAAAAACCATGTGATTATCTTGAGATATCAAGAGATGCAGAAAAGGCCTTTGACAAAATTCAACAACTCTTCCTGCAAAAAACTCTCAATAAATTAGGAATTGATGAGACGTATCTCAAAGTAATAGGAGCTATCTCTGACAAAGCCATAGCCAATATCATACTAAATGGGCAAAAGCTGGAAGCATTCCCTTTGAAAACAGGCACAAGACAGGGATGCCCTCTCTCACCACTCCTATTCAACACAATGTTGGAAATTCTGGCCAGGGCAATCAGGAAGGAGAAGGAAATAAAGGGTATTCAATTAGGAAAAGAGGAAGTCAAATTGTCCCTGTTTGCAGATGACATGATTGTATATCTAGAAAACCCCATCATCTCAGCCCAAAATCTCCTTAAGCTGATAGGCAACTTCAGCAAAGTCTCAGGATACAAAATCAGTGTGCAAAAATCATTAGCATTCTTATACACCAATAACAGACAAACAGAGAGCCAAATCGTGAGTGAACTCCCATTCACAATTGCTTCAAAGAGAATAAAATACCTAGGAACCCAACTTACAAGGACGTGAAGGACCTCTTCAAGGAGAACTACAAACCACTGCTCAATGAAATAAAAGAGGATACAAACAAATGGAAGAACATTCCATGCTCATGGGTAGGAATAATCAATATCGTGAAAATGGCCATACTGCCCAAGGTAATTTATAGATTCAATGCCATCCCCATCAAGCTACCAAAGACTTTCTTCACAGAATTAGAAAAAAACTACTTTAAAGTTCATAAGGAACTAAAAAAGAGCCCTCATTGCCAAGTCAATCCTAAACCAAAAGAACAAAGCTGGAGCCATCACGCTACCTGACATCAAACTATACTACAAGGCTACAGTGACCAAAACAGCATTGTACTTGTACCAAAACAGAGATATAGACCAATGGAACAGAACAGAGCCCTGAGAAATAATGCCACATATCTACAACCATCTGATCTTTGACAAACCTGACAAACACAAGAAATGGGGAAATGATTCCCTATTTAATAAATGGTGCTGGGAAAACTGGCTAGCCGTATGTAGAAAGCTGAAACTGGATCCCTTCCTTGCACCTTATACAAAAATTAATTCAAGATGGATTCAAGACTTAAATGTTAGACCTAAAACCGTAAAAACCCTAGAAGAAAACCTAGGCAATACCATTCAGGACATAGGCATGGGGAAGGACTTCATGTCTAGAACACCAAAAGCAATGGCAACAAAAGCCAAAATTGACAAATGGGATCTAATTAAACTAAGGAGCTTCTGCACAGCAAAAGAAACTACCATCAGACTGAACAGGCAACCTACAGAATGGGAGAAAGTTTGTGCCATCTACTCATCTGACGAAGGGCTAATATCCAGAATCTACAATGAACTCAAACAAATTTACAAGAAAAAAACAACCCCATCAAAAAGTGGGTGAAGGATATGAAGACCCTTCTCAAAAGAAGACATTTATGCAGCAAAAAGACACATGGAAAAATGCTCATCGTCACTGGCCATCAGAGAAATGCAAATCAAAACCACAATGAGATACCATCTCACACCACTTAGAATGGCGATCATTAAAAAATCAGGAAACAACAGGTGCTGGAGAGGATGTGGAGAAATAGAAACACTTTTACACGGTTGGTGGGACTGTAAACTAGTTCAACCATTGTGGAAGTCAGTGTGGCGATTCCTCAGGGCTCTAGAACTAGAAATACTATTTGACCCAGCCATCCCATTACTGGGTATACACCCAAGGGAGTATAAATCATGCTGCTATAAAGGCACAAGCACAAGTATGTTTATTGCGGCACTGTTCACAATAGCGAAGACTTGGAACCAACCCAAATGTCCAACAATGATAGACTGGATTAAGAAAATGTGGCACATATACACCATGGAACAAAATGCAGCCATAAAAAATGAAGAGTTCATGTCCTTTATAGGGACATGGATGAAGCTGGAACCATCATTCTGAGCAAACTATCCAAGCACAAAACACCAAACACCGCATGTTCTCGCTCATAGGTGGGAATTGACCAAAGAGAACATATGGGCAGAAGAAGGGGAACATCACACTCCGGGGCCTGTTGTGGGGTAGGGTGAGGGGGGACGGATAGCATTTGGAGATATACCTAATGTTAAATGGCGAGTTACTGGGTGCAGCACACCAACATGGCACATGTATACATATGTAACAAACCTGCATGTTGTGCGCATGTACCGTAAAAGTTAAAGTATAATAAAAAAATAAAATAAAATAAAATTTAATTAGAAATGAAAAAAGAAAATTCTACAACTTGAAACTAGATAGAAGATAGATCAGAAACAAAAATAGGAGTAAAGTGTGACTTTCTTCTCACTGTTTGATTATTATAGAGGCATTTTTATTTCATTAAAATCTTATATTTCTGGGGCTAGTTAATGTTATGATATTTTATTTTTAAATAGTTTTATTTTATTTACTTCAGTTAATTTGTAATTTTTGAGGATGCATTGTAGGTGTATATACTTATGGGGTTCATGAGATGTTTTGATGCGGTCTCGCAATGCATAATAATCACATCATAGAGAATGGGATATCCACCCACTCAAGCATTTATTCTTTGGGTTAAAATCTGATTATTCCTTCTTAGCTAGTTTAAAATGCACAATTACATTATTATTGACCAGAGTCATCTCGTTGTGCTATCAAATAATATGTCTTATTTATTCTATTTTTTTGTACACATTAACAGTCCCCACCTTTCCCCCAGCCTCCACTGTCTTTCTTAGCCTCTGAAAACCATCCTTCTGCTCTCTATGTCCGTGAATTCAGTTGTATTAATTCTTCCATCCCACGAATAAGTGAGAACGCACAGTGTTTATCTTTCTGTGCCTGGCTTATTTCACTTAACATACTCTTCTCTTTTATCCATGTTGTCGTAAAAGACAAAATCTCATTTTTATGGCTGAATACTACTCCAATGTATATATGTACTACTTTTTTTATACATTCATTCATTTGTAGACAGTTTGCTTTCAAATCTTAACTATTGTAAACAGTGCAGCAACAAGCCGATTTTCTTTCTTTTGTGTCAATGCCCATCACTGGGATTGTTGGGTTGCATTGTAGCTGTGGCAGCTCAATTTTTAGCTTTTTGAGGAACCTCCACACTTTTTTATAGTGGTTATACTAATTTACATTCCCACCAAGAGTGCACTAAAGTTTTCTCCACATCCTCGTCAGCACTTGTTATTGTCTGTCTTGGGATATAAGACATTTTAACTGGAGTGAGATAATATCTTATTGTAGTTCTGATTTGCATTTCTCTGAGGTTTAATGATGTTTAGCAACATTTATATGCCTGTTTGCCATTTGTATGTTTTCTTTGTAGAAATGCCTCCTCCTGGCTGGGTGTTTCATGCCTATAATCTCAGCACTTTGGGATGCCGAGATGGAAGGATCACCTGAGGTCAGGAGTTTGAGATCAGCCTGGCCAACATGGCTAAACCCAGTCTCCACTAAAAATATAAAAATTTGTCAGGCATGTGTTCTGCATGGGAGATGCATGAGGAAGAAGAAAAGGCACACACAATACTTTTAAGGGTAAACATCTTTTGTCTCAATTATATGGCAATACAGATATAATAAGTAAATGATATGATAAGCAAATTGATATGAGAAGGGAAAAAATATATATATTTTTATATATATAAATATATATAATATATATAAAATTATATATGTATTTATTTACATTTATTTATTTAAATAATTATGTACATTATACAATTATTTTTATTTACAGTTATATGTATAAATTATATACATATATATGTATATATATATATACATATGTTTACACACAGCAGACTACAGAGTATGGAGGAAGCATCACCAGACAGAGAAGCAATAGCCTGGGCTCCAGAGTCAGACACTACACTCACCAGACTATGGAGGATTCATCAACAGACCGGGAAGCAACAGCCTGGGCTACAGAGTTGGCCCCTCATCCCTGCAGAGATGAGGAGAGGTCTCAGGAAGCTCTAGTGCCATCTGGGACCCTAGCTCTTTTTGTAAGGAGTTCTTTGGCATAAGGCCGGGTAACGAGGACTCTTCACTACTGGGCTCAAAAACCACAAAAATGTCAAATTTTTGGCGATTGTCTGTTGTTTTTCAATAACTAACATACAGGAACAGATTAAAATAGAAATTTCTCTGAGACACTGGTGGATGAACGCCTGAAGAAACTCACAGAACCTGTTCCGGGACTTGGTGACCATTGTTTGTGTCCATGTTCAATTGAGATAAAATTGAATATTTAACTTTTCTTCCAAATTTGGCTTCAATTTGATACTCAATTGTAGGAAAATACCCTTACAGATACTTGGGGAAAGCATAGTTGATACAGATTACAGACTCAGGGTAAGCACAGGAGAATTAAAAGCACAGTTAATGAAAACCACACCCACCATGGCTGTGCAAGGAGAGTCGTAGTGTGACAATTGTCAGGGATATACACACAACATTCGGTATGCAGTAAGGTACAGGGACGATTCTCCAACGTAGCCCATTTTTGGTGGCCTCTGGCAATTCCACGCATAGCCAACATTGACTGCAGTTGGCTTCTGTTGCAGTGGTGGCTATGCAGATGATGAATTTATTCTTGGCATCAGACACAGAGACACAGGTACTGACCATTAGTAAACAGGTTATTCTCTGTAATAACCAAAACAGAGGGGAACATAATATTGTTTTTCATCTTTAGGAAACTGTACTATGCCTTCAGTTTCTTCTCCCATAGCTACAAGTTCACCAGCCATAGGAGTAGGATGTGATGGACGCTGTACTCATATTTTGGCTCCAGGATTTAAGCTACGTGTACCAGTGCGTCTGAATCTCCCAGTTCTGTATGTAGCCTCTGTTGGGGCAGAGACATCCTCAGGGGTTAATTGTTGACAAGGTACCACTAAAAATTGAGGAACCCACATCTGCAGTTTTACAGCAAAAGATTCTCGAGTGACATTGTATAAAATGATCTTTAACTCTCCCCTGTAACCACTCTGAATTATACCACCATACATTATGCCGTTCATTGCAAGACTTGAATGTGTTTTAATCCATTCATCCGCATTCAAATTTGCAACTATGGTGGAAATTTTGGCCTGTTGATCTGTCTGCTGATTAAATAGTCTGTCGAGAAAGCAGAGACACATGAGCATCAACATGAAAAACAGTGATAATGATAGTGTGCACCAGGATTCAGGTATCTTCCCAGGAGTGTTTTCCCTCTTTATGCCTAATTAACCATTTGTAAAGATAAAATAGAGAATGAAGGTGGTGTCGGTGAGATTGGACATCAAAAGACACAAAAGGAATGTGACATGGTGACCTGAGAAAGGAATAGAGAGAGAAATTAAAATAGACAAAAAGGGGAATCAGCAAGGAGATGGAGGAGGCAGAATAGAAGAGGGGACTCAACAAACAGGAGCAGTTGGTGCAACAGAGGGTGCATCGCATACTTGTACGACGCTTCTTTCATTTTCTAGTTACTTTTCCTTTTAAATTTGTGTCAGATTTAGTTAAGGTGTCAACGTTTTTTTAAATCTTTTTATATACTGAAAATATTCTTTGCTGTTTAGTAAATAACTTTCAGTATTTCAATTTGCTCTTGATAAGAGTATTAATTTTTAAATCAACAGACAACATTCAGTAAAACTAGTTAGTCTAATATGCAGCAGCTTCTTCTCTTCCACATGTGATTTGGGAATTTAATGCACTGTGAGACGAAATTTCCAAGTCTATGATGTCTTTAAGTTCCCTTTGCTCTTTTTTTTTTAGCAGATATTGAAGAATGGGCTGGCTGGGCATGAAACTTTCTTCCACCAAGACCATCTTTTCATGATAAATACATTGTCCTGAGTTATTTTTATAGCTAATCCTCTTTCTTGTTTCCAATTGTCAATTATTACATATTTTCAACTTTATAATTTTGGAAGTTCGATGTGATTTCTCAAAAAAAAGAAAGAAAAAAAGAAAATGCTTGAGTTTAATGTGATTAGAATAACAGAGAAGTTTCTCCTGGTCAAGAGTATAAAATTTGGTCTGAGACCTTTAGCCAGTGCTGGTGACTCTCTGCTGGCCTGTCCTCATCCTATCCCTCCCTTCCCAAACATACACTTACACAGTCACAAGGCAGCTGAGGAGAGGAGAGCACAGACTTTAAACTCTGTATGTGTATATATTTTAAGATAGAACCTTGCTCTGTTGCCCAGGATGGAGTGTAGTGGCACTATCTCGGCTCACTGTAGGCTCCACCTCTGAGTTCAGGCGATTCTCGTGCCTCAGTCTCCCAAGTAGCTGGGATTACAGGTGCCTACCACTATGCCCAGCAAATTTGTGTGTTTTTAGTAGAGTCAGGGTTTTGCCATGTTCCCCAGGTTGGTATCATACTCTTAGCCTCAAGCGAGCCACTGGCCTTGGCCTCCCAAAGTGCTGGAATTACAGGCATGAGCCACAATACCCGGCCTGTCTTTATATGATTTCTTTGGCTCTAAAGAGTATCAGTGGTGTCTGTACCTTTCTCAGCGGCTTAGGGTATCGTTTTTAGCAGAGGCTGTGGTAAAGTTTTGCTGGGAATAGGGGCACCAGAGGTTTAGTCATTGGATCCCAGTGATGGCAGTGGTGAGCTTACCATGCCTGCTTTTGGGTCTCAAGGCAGTTATGCTGGCAGCAGTGTTAACAGGTCCAGGAAGACTAATTATTTGGCCTTCATGTGATTTGCTCAGGTGTCAGCAGTGAGCAAGGTGGGTGGGCAGCTTCTTGAGCCCCTGGACAGTGGTTATGGCATGGATGATGGCAGTAGCAACGACAAGAAAAACCTCTGACTCCCAAGCATTCCATGCTGGTGTTGGTGTTTGCTGTGATGGGCTGGGAAGGCCAGTTTCTAGGAACACAGGTGGTGTATATATGTGGGTATCAGCTGCGTTAGTAGCTCCAGGTTCAGTGAGTCCATCCTCAGGTCTCAGAGAAGAGTGCTCAGGTGCCAATCTTGTTAGACTTCACTGGACTGAAGTCCATATTTTAAGCACTATCTGGCTCCACACACTCATTGGCCGTTCTTATCATCACTCTGAGCCCATTAACCCCGCAGCAGAAAAACATCAGGAAAGTTTTTAATATTTCTTCTTTGGGGCACAGTATGCAAGGAAAGGAATTGTATTAAGAGATGAAGTAAGTACTCCTATTAGAAAAAGGAACACTTTGGGGCCAGAAATGGACCAGTGTCCAAGGCATGCAGAAAGCAGGAAATAATTACCGGGTCATGGGATGGAACTATGGAGAGTGACTAAAGTTTCAAGATCATAAACCAGTCTTTAGTTGCTCCTAATTTAATTTAATGCAATCCTCACTCTTTGTCATCATTTGGTTTTAATGTATAAAGCTATGGGGTCTGCTTATTGTATGTTTTGTAGTATAATTTGGAAATTAATCTATCAGCTCTTTTTTCTCAGCCCAGTTGGTGTCTTGTCAACTCCTCTGCACTAATTGCTTCTTGTTTTCTCACAGTCCAGCCCTATGTTCTCATGAGCTGTGACCCTGGGGTATCCAGGCTCTGGTTTGCCTGCTGTGGAAAAAGTGCAGCTTTCTAAGCTGGTCACATATCTCTACATTAAATGTACATTGTCTTTTTAAAGCAATGTTCAGACATTCATATATTCTTTCTTCCTGAGGTTTAAGCACCACAAGCAGCAGTCATATAATGGAGAGATTCTCAACAACAGAGTGAGTCTCTGCCATAATTGGATTTATTATACGTTAGAAACAGCAGTTACATACTAAATGTTTTACAAAGTGTTTTTTATAATTTTTATTTCCTTAAATATTGCAAATAGAAAATTTAGAGGTCCAACATTTATTTAAAATTTGGCTCTTGTAATTTGCAGTGGAAAGCTTATATGAGTATCTAACTCTAAACCAATTAATTAAAAATGCTCTGGGGTTAACTGGGCACCAAAGTATAAGAAAATTTTAATTAAGTGAAAAAGTCTAAGTAATGACCAACTAAGGAAATAAAAAGGAAATTATACTTTCAACCCCCTTTCCCCCAGTTGCTCTATGCTCTATTTTTTTTCTATTGCCAAGTTGTACAATTTTATTTTTGTCCTTGATAATTGTACTTTATTTTAACGTGACTAGATTATATTTTATTTTATTTTATTTTATTTTATTTTGTTTTATTTTATTTTAATGTGACTAGATTTTGCCTCACTCCAGGCTGGAGTACGGTAGCATGATTATAGTTCACTGTAACCTCAACTTCCTGAGTTCAAGTAATCCTCCTGCCTCAGCCTTCTAAGTAGTTGAGACCACAGTTACATGCTATAATGTCAAAATAATTTTTAAAACATTTTCAGTGACAAGGTCTTGCTTAGGCTTGTCTCAAACTTCTGGCCTTAATTGATCCTCTGGCCTCAGCATCCCTAGCAGCTGAAATTTCAAGTGTGAGCCACTGAGCCCAGCTCTTTATTTTTATAAATATTTATCTCCTTAGTTTTTTCTGAAGCATTTTCAACACCTTCACCTGAACTTTCAGGCTTTCAACTCACAGTTGATTTTATCCATTTTGCTATTCATCCTATTTATTCTATTGCTTGTATACTTTTGTAACATATTTAATATTTTGAGTTTTAAATTCTTGCTACTTATATGTATGTATTTTTAGTTGTCTCTTTTGCAAGGCTGCGATTCTCTCTAGAGAAGAGAATGGGCTCTATGCTTTCTTGAGAAAAGCATTTTATAACATGGGAGTAAAACAGACCCTGTGGAAAATAAAATAAAAGGCATTTTAATCATGATTTTTTATAAATTGCTATTTGGGAGACACAAATTTAGCAAGAAGCTATATCATGTTCCATTCAGATGAGGTTAGGGAGGGACTTATAAAGTTTTACTGCAAGTTTACACAAGTGAAAGATTTTAGCACAGTCTATGATGGACAATGTTTGATTGCCAGCTTAGACTGTATCTAGGCAATCATCAGCTTAATTCAGCACAGCTTTCTCTTCAGGAGGTTTGTGATCAGGCTCGGTATAAACAATCCAAGTCAAATGCAGTTGCCTTTTTAGGACATCTGTAATTTTCCCAGTTCGAACAGGTAAAATTCCACCTGGGTGTGTATGAGTATTAATTCAACTCCTCATGTCCTCCTAGTTGTCTTTAGAGACCTCTCAAATAACTATCTCCATTTTGGATTTCTTTTAATTAGAAATAAAGAGAGCAAGGATTATCACTGGTTGGGAATATAGAAAAATAGTGCCCACCTGTGATTCATCGGACCCCAGTCAGAGAGAAAAGGCCAAGATATGCCTGACAGAAAGGCTTGAGGACCTTTAGGTAATTTATTCCTCAAAAAGAATTGGTTCACACCTGTAATTCCAGCACTTTGGAAGGCCAAGGCGGGCAGATTATTGGAGGTCAGGAGTTCAAGACCAGCCTGACAAACATAGTGAAACTAAAAATACAAAATTTACTAAACATACTAAACGTACAAAAATTAGCTGGACATGAAGCTGGGTGCCTGTAATCTCAGCTACACAGAAGCCTGAGGCAGCAGAATCTCTTGAACCCAGGAGGTGGAGATCACAGTGAGCCAAGATTGTACCAATGTACTCCAGCCTGGGTGACACAGCAAGACTCTGTCTCAGAAAGAAAAAATTGGATAAAGAATTGCCCTAATGCTGGGAATTTTACCTCATAGGTAGTAAAAATATTTACAGAATAAGGCCCAGGTGTAGCCATAAAGTGGCATTACAATTCTTTCATTCTAGATAAGAAACTAACTTAAAAAAAGAATAGAAATTCTAAGGTAAGAGACAAAACTCTGGGAGGATTTACATCTAAGGTAAAGGCTCAATCACAGGACACCAGAAGAAGATTGAGAATGCAGCTTCCTTTCTGCCCTGCATCCATTGTCAATAGACTTTCCCTGGCCTTCTCCTTTTGACTTTGGTCATTTTATTTTATAATGTTTTTTTCCACATAGACCTGATGCAACTCCAGAGTTGGAAGAAAAAACAACAATGTCCTAATAGTTGCTTAGAGGAAACCTCAGCAAGTGAAGCAGAAGTTGATTTATTTTTTGTAAAATCATAGAAAGGTATTCATCCTCCTGATCTCTGCAACTGCTTTTTAAAGAAATCTATATTTCCAAGACTGTCGCTATGCTTTGTGAAAATACCTTCAAATTATTAATTCTGCAAGTTCGAATGATCTATCTTCACTCTTTCCTTGGGTTAATATTAAAATGAACATATGCTCTGAGAAAAATGGACCTGGGTGTCTTATCCGGCAGCCAGAAACTATGACTGCTTTTCTCTTCTTCCTCATACATTATGCTGCCGACTCTTTAGGATTTCATAATTCAAGGAGAAATGTTAGAGTCTGTATCTCATTTAAGCTTACACAAGTGAAATAAAAAGAACCACAACCACAACTCCGATTTTGTAGTAGAATGAGATTTTCATATAATATTCGACTCTAGCATTTACTATTTACGAAAAATAAATATTTCCCCTCCTCTCTGGATAAACACATTCTGGGGAAGAGCTCTCAGGGAGATGGAGAAGAGCTGTCTCTTCTTCTTCTGATTTTCAGTTGTTCCAGCAAATGTCTCACAATATTCTTTACATTGAAGCTGCAGGAAATGAACCAAAACACCAAGTGCCTTAGTTGGGCCCTGCTGCTGAGGAAGAGGCTGTGTTTGAGCTGGTCTCAGTTTGCCCTGTCACTGACATAGGACTCTGTACTGGGGCCCGGCTACTAGATGGAAGGGCTAAATTATGTTGGGACTTCCCTCAGAATTATGGCTCACCCTCCTCCCTCATCTGCATTCTGAGCTCCAGGCACTGTGTAGAGCACTCCGTTCATTGACAGTTCCCATGTATCCCTGATATGTGAGTCATCAGCACGGCTGCACTTCACAGAGGACAAAATGAAATCGAGGGGAGGAGAGGCAACTCTCGCCACCTGCAGGACTGGTCAGTGGTGGAGCCGGGATCCCAGAGTCAGCTTTTAGGATCACTTCACTCATATTAAGCCCAAAACTTCACTGAGCCTTTTAAAATAAAGGGATACTGATTGTCCCACCTCACAGCCCTCGGGTAAAGCTAGATCAGGCTCAATGTGGAGGGCACTGAGCACAGCACAAGTTGCATGTGAGTGGGGACTGTCATTGTTTCCTGGGGCCCTCAGGTTTGGAGGTTTCCTGTCATGTAGTGACAGCTGGCTTAGGGGGCATTAGGGGAGGGGCTTCCCCACAGTTTGTTGCAACAGCCACCTGGCTCAACCAGGAATGTTCCAAAGTCATCCAGATAATTTCCCAGATGACCACTCAGTCATGTGGTGTCCTACTACCCATGGGATACAGCCTAAACTTTTTATCATAGGAGGAATAATTTCTAGTGTCTGACAGCACAGTAGGATAACTACAGTTAGCACTAATTTTTAATATATTTTAAAATAGATAGAAGAGATGGCTTTAAATTCTCCCAACACAAAGGAAATTTTTCAAACACAAAGAAAATAATATCCATGTTTGAGGTGATGGATATTCTAATTACCCTGATTTGATCACTGTACATTGCATGCATGTATCAAAATATCACTCATGCACCACAAATATATACTATTATTATGTATCAACAAAGGGAAAATTGCTAAAAGTGGCTCCCAACTAAAAAAAAAAAGTCAATTTCTAAGTCACAGAAAAAGATGCTCACTTTAAATTGTAAGTTCTGTGACAGAATGTAAAGGTTTGCATAGTCACTTTTACAGTCCCAGACTATCATGCATAGAACTGCCTGGCCCCGTGTGTATGTACACACAGAGATACAACCATGCTTCTCTAGTGGGGCATTTTTTTCTCCCTGAAACATTTGCCAATGTTTGGAAACCTGTCTTGCTGTCTAGTTATTTTAGTAAATTGATTATGACTGTAATTAGGCCCAATTTAGTGACTGTAATTAGGCCCACTTGCTGTCTGCACATAGATGATCAGGGGCAAGTAGTCGAAGATATAGTTAAAGACATGATGAAACTGGCACATGTGCCAGTACAGGTGTGGCACCGATTTGACACTGAGGCCATGTTTGAAAATGGTTCCCGGCACTAGAAGGATTTAAAACTCTTATAATGGAAACTATAGTAGTAATAGGAACCTGCTTACTGATCTCTTGCTTACTAGCTGTACTCATTCAAGTGGTAAAAGTTTTCATGGCAACTCTAGTTCACCAGAACGCTTCAGCACGAGTGTACTACATGAATCACTATCAATCTGTGATAGAGGAAGACATAGGTAGTGAGGAAGAAGGTGAGAACTCCCACTAATAAAATGAGTGAGAGTCTCAAAGGGGGAAAATAAGGGAGGAGACCAACCCTCATATTGTCTTATACCCAATTTCTGCCTCCAAAGAAAGAAGAAGTAAAAACTAGAAGGCAGAAATGAAATCCACAAGCAGACAGCCCAGCGCCACACCCTGGGCCTGGTAGTTAAAGGTCAACCCCTGACCTAATCGGTTATTTGTATAAAAAATGCACTGTGAAGATCCCTGTCCTGTTCAGTACCTTTCTAATTACCAGTGTATGCAGCCCCCAGTCACATACCCACTGCTTGCTCAATAGATCGTGACCCTCTCATGCGGACCCCCTTAGAGTTGTGAGCCCTTAAAAGGGACAGGAATTGCTCACTCGGAGGGTTCAGCTCTTGGGAAAGAAGTCTTGCTGAAGCTCCCAGGTGAATAAACACCTTCTTTCTTTAACTCAGTGTCCAAGGGGTTTTGTCTGCCGCTCTTCCTGTTACATTGGGAGAGGCCAATGTGGGCAGCGACATGGGGAGGCACAGATCCCTTAGTGGTGGCTGTGTGCTCTGAGGCGAATGTGGGGAAAATCAGACCTAAGATGCTTCATATGGCTGATAGTACCAGCTTTACAGCTGCAGCAGTCTGCGACAGGGGAAGGCATGGTCCTGGCTAAGCAGCATCTGAAACTCCCGCAATAGGACCAGGTCTGGTGGACTCAAGAGTGAAAGTCAGAGTGAAAGTGAACTGCAAGAGAGGAAATGAGAGTGAAAACATCAAAAGTGGCTCCTTTGAAAAGCATAATAAAGAATTTTAAAAAAAGAGTTAGAGGTGATTATAGGATGAAACTGAGTGTTCAAAAGTTAAGGACATACTGTGAATTAGAATAGCCCTGTTTTAGTGTCAGATGGCTTGCCAAAGGCACTATAGAAAAATTGGCCGTGTGTTTTAAGGTGGTGACTAGGGTCAGAGAACAGCCAGGACATTCAGACCTAGTCTTTATATTGACTCATGGCTAAATGAATGCAGCCCTGCCTAGCAGTTTACTGTAGAATGCTCGCAGCTCACGGCAAGAGAAAATCAGCTGCTCTGGCAGCTACAGAGTTAAAAGGAGACACAGAGGCTTGTAGCACCTCCCAGCCAAAAGTGAAAGTAAAATCAGCTGCCCCAGCAGCTGAAGACAAATGAAAAAATCTCAGAAAAGGCAGAAAAACCGGTTTTGTCACAACCACAGAAAAGAATAGAGACCGCTCCTCCTTACATTCCAATCTACCCCCTTTACCAAGGTAACTGTCCCTAAGGAGTTAAGTTCAAATGGATACATGCTGCCAGTCTCACCCGAGAAGGTGAAATGAGAGCGAAAATCAGGCAGGCCGTCTCAGGTCTGGTCGTGCATAAGATATGCTCATGCCTCTTAAGAGGACAGGAGGACCCCCACTAAGACCCAGATGATGCAGTCCAGATTCAGCACCTGCAAAGGTGCCGAGAAGCCCATCTGCAAAGGCTAAAGGATGGTAAAAGAAAAAGGCAATCAATATTTTAAAAAATCTCAGACATGCTTCAGGGTGCAGATAAAAGCACAGCAAGTTCTATGAAAGACTTTGTGAGGCATTTTTATTGTACACTCCGTTTAACCCTGAGGCTACTCAAAAATAAGTGCAGGGTGAATCCAGCACTTGTAAGGCAGACCCAAGGAGATATCAGGCATAAATTGCAGAAGTTACAAGCTCCGTAGGCGTGAATGCTACTCAGCTTATTAAAGTGACAACCAAGGTGTTAATTAACCGAGATGAGGAGGCAAAGGAAAAGGCTGATCACAGGCTTAAGAAAGGCTAACTTACTAGCAGCAGCCCTTCCGGGAAGAGGAGCTGGCTTTACAAGGAGGCATGGACGCGGGCGTGAACGTAGTCATGAAAAAGGCTAGTCTGGACAGGAGTGTGAAGGCCAGCCGAGGCTAGAGAGAGATTAATGTGCATGGTGCAAAAGGAAAGACACTGGAAGCATAAATGTCAAAGAAATAATGAAAATGATCAGGGCAATAGTAAAAGAAACAAAAAACAAACCAAAAAAACCCAAAAAAACAGAACCAAAAAATCACACACACACACCAGCCAAGGGCTACTACACGCAGAAGAAACGCAAGAACCACTGCACCTGCTGTAGAAGGCAGAATAAAAAGTGTCAGAAAAAAGCTCAAATCTCCTCTAAAAGTGTCTAATATTTAAGCTTTTATATAAGCCAAGAGGAAAGATGGCTTAGTCCTGAAAAAAAGCAGGCTGTTTGTGCACTTTCTACTCCAACCACCCGGTGTCAAGTAAGAGAGTTTCTAAGAGCAGCAAGGTTCTGCCGCGTTTACAACCCAAATTTCTTGCTCATGGTCAAGCCATCATACCAAGCCACTAAGAGGAGGAAAAAAGGAGCCCCTCCTCTAGGAGGCCAAAGAGGAGAAGGATTTTAAAGAAATCAAAGAAGCCTTGACTCAGGCCCCAGCTTTAGGACTGCCAGATCTAACTAATCAAGCTTTTCTTCTTGTATGTGCACAAGTGAAAGGGAGGCCATAGGGGTTCTGACTCAAGCCATAAGGTCATGGCATCGCCTGGTGGCATATTTATCCAGGCAATTAGATTCTTTTGCACTTGGATGGCCTCCTTGTCTTAAAGCACTAGCAGCCACTGCCGTACTGGTGCAGGAAGCTAGTAAACTAACTTTAGAGACTGTGAATACCCTAAATCCGGCTACCTTACTCTCATCGAGTCAGTGCCAGGAGGACCGTTTCATTGTGGTGTGGACGTGGTAGATGAAGTGTTCTCAAGCCAGAGAGATTTGACAGATCAGTCCCTCAGGGACCCAAACATTGAATATTCTACTGATGGAAGCAGTTTCATACTAAAAGGAGCCCGCCAAGCTGTGTATGCAGTGGTGACTTTAGACTCAACAGTAGAGGTGCAGTCTTCATCTACAGAAACATGATTAGAAAGCAGAACTAAGAGCTCTGACAAGAGTTCTCTGGCTAGCAAAAGACCAAAAGACCAATATTTATACAGGTTCCAAATATGCTTCTGCCACTTTGCATGTTCATAAGGTTATTTACAAAGAAAAAAAGAAGACTTTTAACTGCTGGAAACAAAGAAATAAAGTACAAGGAAGACATCCTACAGCTCTTAAACGCTGTATGGGCCCCAAAAGTGACGGTAGTGAAGTCCTGCAAGAGGCAGCAAAAAGCAAGAACACTAAGGGCTAAAAAAGATACGAAGGCAAAGAGGCAAAGAAGGCTGCAATGACAACTCCACCTAAAGAAGACGCCTTAGCTATGCCTCTCCTCCCGGAGATTCCCCTCCTGGAGATCCCAATCTTCACTCCAAATAACAGAGCTTGGCTTCCCCAGGAAAATAAGAACTACATTGAAAGAGGATAATACAAATTCTTCAATGGGAGGCTAGCCATACCTGAAATGGTGACCCCCAGATTTGTAAAACAATTCCACCACCGAACTCAGATTAAAAAAAAAATAAAGACACTATTAAGGCATCATTTTTATCTGCCATGGCTCATTGCTATTACTCGGGCCATTTGTAAACTGTGTTTAACTTACACTCGGAACAATCCACGACAAGATCCTACTCGGCCCATGGGAGTTCAGGAAAAAGGAGCCATGCCCTGTGAAAATCTGCTTATGGACTTCACTGAATGACCCTGAGACGGGGGCTATCAGTACATATTGGTGTTCATTTGCACCTTTTCAGGATAGCTCAAGGCCTTTACCACCAGGACAGAGAGGGCACTAGACGTGACCAAGGCGTTAAGAGACATTGTTTCCAGATTTCGGCTGCCTCTAACTCTAAGATCAGAGAATGGACCAACATTTGTGGCTAAAATAGTTCAGGACTTAACTCGACTATTAAAAATAAAATGGAAATAACATACAGCCTACAGGTAGCAGATCTCAGGTAAAGTGGAGAGCATAAACTGGACACTCAAGCAGCTGTTGAAGAAATTTTGTCGAAAAACTCATCTGAAGTAATATCAGGTCTTGCCCATGGTCCTCTTATGAGTCAGGTGCACCCCCACCAAAAAACTGAGTATTCGCCCTCTGAGATTTTGTTCAGCTGCCCACCCCCCAGAAAAATCAGATTCAGGGTAATCTCTGTAAATTGGGAAAACTAACTTTAAGAAGGCAAATGCAGGCTTTAAGTATGGCTATACTAAAATGCATGGTTAAGTATGTAAAAAAATGCCTATAAGTCTAACAGACCCAGTACACCCTTTCAAACCTAGGGACTTCGTTTAGGTAAAAAATGGAATTCAACCACTCTAGGACCCGTATACGATAGGCGCCATATTGTAATCATGTCTACTCCCACTGCTGTTAAAGTTGCAGGTGCCACACCTTGGATTCACCATAGCCATCTAAAACCAGTGACAGTAGCGAGTCCTGATGACAACCTGTGGATTAGCCAACAAGACCCAGATTGCCCCACTCGAATAGCCCTATGGCAAATCTCAGCCACCGGTAAAAAGGACAACCGCCCTGCTCTGACCACACTGGAGGCTGGTCAGTCTAAGCATGGCTGAAGCTTAAGGATTCTTCAAACTCTGCTCTAGTCACATCCCGGAAGCTGACTAGTGTACACACAGCCGAAGCTAAGAGGACCATGTCCAGATAAGTAAATGTGAATACAATTTATAACCATAGTTACAATTCTGTCAATACTGATTGTTCCGTTGTTATGTTATTACTGCAAATGCTGCAAATGTCTATGCCCAGAGGAAAGTTTTTGTGCCCATGTGTAGTGTAAGCATGTTTCTATTACATACAACAATGTTGTTACCATTTATGCTTATACTGAAAGGGGACAAATCTCTTGAAGGATGTCCACGCTGTGTACACATTACCTGGATAAAAAATACCACAGTTAAAACTCTACTGTACCATACCTACTATGAATGTACAGGAAGCAAATTAGGAATATGCACATACAACCAGACCACCTATTCAGTCTGTGACTGAGGAAATAATCAGCTATATGTATGTTATGAGCCTGGGCTCTTACCCTATTAATTCTATTTTGAGGTACATATTAAATCAGAGGGAGAAACAGAAGGAAAGCTTATAGCTCAAACCAAAGAAATCCCACCCTTCTAAAAAGGGCCTATTTCTTCTTTGATGACTGCCATGCCACGTATGTTCATAATCCTAAAAACCAGATTGTAAGACAAGGACATGCGATCCTTTAAATTTTACTATCTTAAAGCCAGAGCTACCTTTTTGGTCTACAGGACAGACAGCACTATTACGAGTTGATAGACAAGGAGCAGGTCTTGGAGTTCCACTACTAATTGTCAAAAATACTATAAGGACTCAAATGCATCCAACCCCTCAATACCAAGTCATTCTGTAAACATTTTGATCAGCCAGTGACCGAGGTTCCCCCATCAACCAAAAACTTATTTGCTCAACTAGCTGAAGACACAGATGACAGCTTAAAAATTTCTTCATGCTATGTATGTAGAGAAACTAATATGGAGAATGAGTGGCAATGGGAGGCAAAGGAATTAATGCCACAAGATAACTTCACTCTGCTTAACCCTGCCAGTGAACCAACAGCCTCAGCCAGTGTTTGATTGTTAGAAATCTCCATAACTGGAAAGTACTGTATCACTCGATGGGGAAAGGCTTTCACAGAGGCAGTAGGAAAAACAACCTGCCTAGGGCAACAGTATTATTACGAGACTAAAAACAAAACTCTATGAAGAAATGCCCAGAATGACTCCTACTTACCAGATCCAAACACTTTCTCTGGATTCCTTACTCTAAGCTGCACTTGGCATCAGGTAGATGATTCAAATGCTTGAAAGGCACCCTCTGGCCTATATTGGATCTGTGGAGCATGGGCATATTGGCAACTGCCAGCAAAATGGGCAGGGGCGTGTCTGTTAAAAGCAATCAAGCCATCCTTCTTTCTAATTCCTCTAAAGCAAGGGAAATTCTTAGAATATCCAGTTTATAATAAAAATAAAAGAAGAACTAGAAAAAGCATAATCACAAAAGTAACAAAAATATCAAAAAAGATGTGGACACAGGAGACTAAAAAGGTAATAAATGACCTCCTGAAAGAATCATGACATGCTATGGGCCAGCTACCTAGGTGCAAGACAGGTCATGAGGGTACTGCACCATAATCTGTATCCTCAGCCGCATCATGAAGTTGCAGGCAGTCCTTCAAATCATAACCAATGAAATATCGAGGGCACTAGATTTATTGGCAATACAAGCAACACAAAAAGGAAATGCTATATATCAAAATAGGCTGGCTTTAAATTATCTCTTATCCTCCGAAGGAGGAATATGTAGAAAATTTAATTTAACCAACTGTTGCCTAGAAATCAATAGCCAAGAAATCAATATTAGTGGTCATAAAAATTACAGCTAGAATGCACAAGTTGGCCCAGGTTCCACTTCAGACTTGATCCAGGTAGTCCCCGGATTCCTTGTTTGGAGGATGGTTCTCAGCATTTGAAAAATTCTAAACCCTCATTAGTAGGTTCTTGCTTATTCTTTGCATCTGCCTTATCCTCCCTTGCCTTTTGTCTCTGTTTATTAGGAGTATTCAGTCAACTATGGAGGCAATGGTAGCCCAAAACACTACTGTACAGTTGATGCATTAACCAGATATCAGCCACCGCCAGAAGAAGAAAAAGCTCAGCTCCATGAAGACTTGGCAAATAATGGTGCTTTCTATTAACACCTCTGTTATAAAAAGCACCAATGGGGAGAATGGAACAGGAATTATAAGAGATTAAAGAGTGTGTAAGCAGAAACTCACTTGTGTGTAAGAAAACCCAACTTCTGTTGAGAAAGAGTAAGAGCTGCAGTCCTTTAAAAACTAACTGCCTGTTTTTCTGTGGCTAGTGATCCTTATCTCTCCTCCTTTCCCAGGGATTGTGAAGACCCTGTTTCCCAAGCTGTGAAGCTGCAAGGTCACTAGACAGATAAATTCAAGTCACAAAACAGGTTTTTCCTTGAAAAGTAAGAAATAATGTAATGCATGTCTCAATTGAATAACTGTCTTTGTTTCTTGCTTCTGTAGTATGATTCTCCCTGCACAAATCTCTCCCCACCCATGAAATGCTTAAAAGGTAACTTAACTCTTTGTTCAGGACTCATTCTTTGGATGTTAATCCGACTGGACCAGTGCACCTAAATAATTAATAAATACCCTCCTGAACCCCATCGGCCTCTCTGATTTCTTAAAATTCCACTACATACAGACTTCTCTACTATTGACCCCCACATTCTTTTCTTCCACACAGGAAGTCCACATATAAAATCGTGTGTGAAACTATTCTATTTGAGGTGTATTTCTGTGCCCTAGGATCCAGGTAATCCCTTACATTTTAAATTCTTGCTTTTTTTGTGGCTCACAGTATGATGTTATCAAAAATTAGGCAAATATTCTGATACTTTCTTAATTTTACAAGGGGAGAATTGTCCTTAGATAATTACATTCTGGAAAGGCCATAATGAGCAACTCTGGACCTGATTGATTGTCATTTTTGGGTCCACTGCAGGGCTGCATACTAAGGGACAGTGGTCATTCTGAGTTCATAGAAAAAACCTGACATGAGAGGGGACATTTTGCTAGACATGCCACCTGGTGCACAGAGCTGAAAAATGAGACCTGCTGGTGACGTGCTTATCAAGCTTAGGGTCTTGAGGGTTTTTTAAATTCCGTGCTTTAAAAGCTGGCCTCACATCCTGAGTTCAGAAAAACCAAAATTTTTTGTTTTCTATAGACTTTTTGGTTGAAAATCCCTTTTCCATGGACTTTTAAAGTAGTTATTTACAGCACAAGCCCCATGTCTAGTAACAAAGGTGTCAGCCATCTTCAAAATGTGTTTTTACTAATACTTTATTTTTAAGCTTTATTAACTAAAGATATATTTATTTATAGTCACTTTGAGTCTCCAGGATAAATATTAGTCTTAAATTGTTATTTCTCATAAAGTCTTGGAGGTTGCTAAGTTCTACTGTTTTGCACGTAAAGAATCAAGAAACTCTTTAGTACAATATTAGAAAATACTTGTATTTACTTAGATTTTATAGTACTATTTTTATTTTTCTCTTTATTTCTTAGATATAGGTACTCAAATTTCTACAAACTGACAACATAATATGCTTACTTGAAAATATTACCAGAATAATTGAAGTTGATAATTAAAAATGAAAGATAAAAAATGTGAGAATTGCTGAAGTCTTGTGGTGGGTATGTATGATAAATGTTAGTTTATAATTCTCCCTATGTTTGCTAAGATTTTTTATTTTCATAATATCTTTTAAATATATAATTTAAGAATTTTATGGAAACTTTCACATACTGTATATTAGCCTTGTTTTACAATAAAACAAGTCAAACATCTTCTCACATGTTTTATCAATATATTTAGGAGTTCAATATTGAATTTGAGTGTTGAAATTGGTTACAAATGAGGGACAAAAGAGCAGCTTTCTAATTGGCCATACACTAAAAGTACCAGCAACTGTGGACAGGGGTGCCACTAACACACTTTATTTAACATTTTTGCTGTGAGTCATTTTTGATAAGGAATATTTTAACCCTATGATGACATCATAACAAGTTTCTAATAATCAGTGACTCAGAGTGGTCTTCAATAGTGTACTATTATTTAATTTACATTTCTGGCCTGCTAAATCTAAGCAGGTAATTTATGTCTATTAATACATTTTACAATTGTAATTTTTTTCTTATAACTATTTGCCATGAAGATTTTAATGTTATAACTATATCTTTGTCTTTTCCTCTTTATTTAACATGCCTTGAGATGAACAATAAATGGGTTTGGTTTTACAGTCTGTGACTTAGTTCTCCAAAAGTCAACAGTTTCATTTGGAAACATTTTAGAGGGATATAATTTTATAACAAAACCATCACATGTTTTAAGTGTACAATTCCAAGTTTTTAAAGTGTATTTACAGACACCCATAACCGCAATCTAATTTTGAAATAACCTTATCACTATGGAAAAAGAAATTAATCTCTTTTGTACTTACTGATTTCATTACCCTGGTCATAGGCAATCATTAGCCTGTTTTTATATATAAGCCTTTTATTAAAAGTTATTTTAAGTGAAATCATAAATTATCTGCCCTTTTGCATTTGGTTTATTTTACTTACTTTAGTGATTTTGAGGTTTTTTCCTGACATAGCAGGTATTATTACTTCATTTTCTTTGTTTGGCACATAGTATTTTATTGTATGGACACACCACACGTTATTTTTTCTGTTATTATTTGATGGATATTTTGGTTTTATCCCCTTTGGGCTATTACAAATACTGCTGCTTTGATCATTTACATCTGATTCTTTGTGTAGTCATAGGTTTTCATTTCTTTTGAGTACGTAACAGAGTAAAATGTCTCAGTCATATGGTGATACTATTTATAGCATTTTGAATAATTGCCAAATTGTTCTTTAAATCGGTTGTTTTTTACACTCTCACATACAATGTGTGAGGCTTTCATATTTTTGATATCTTTGGCAACCTTTTTTATTGCCTTTTACAGGTCTTCTACTAAGTATGTCATTGAGCTTTTGATTTGCATTTCTCTAAACTAATAATGTCACATATTTTAAATTTAATGACAAATTTTGCTTCTTATCTGTAGAAATTTTTAATTCAAATTCCTTGCACATTTTTCAAGTAGTCAATTGTCTATTTATTATTGATTTATAAGACTTTGTGTATTTGAGCAAGATGGCTGAATAGACAAGCCAAGGTGGAACAGCTGACACCAAGGGACCAGGATGACTGGCACACTCTTAACCGAGGGCAGGTACTGATAGTGGAAGGAGGAAAGACACAACATCTGAACTTAAGATTCAGAAGCTGGGAACCCTGCACAGGGCTAAAGCACAGTGGAACTGATTTCTGGCCCCCAGTGACTCTGAGAAAAACAGGTGAGTTTAAGTGGCAAGGAGCTACCTGCTTTCCTGACTGGCCTCTGGAATCCCACTGGCAGAGACCCTCTGACCATCATGGAAAATGAGTTGAAAGGAAGAGCTGCTTAGAGAAGTGACAGGGGCAGCGCACCAGCCAGTGCACAGCCAAGAGGGTTTATTGTGGGAACATGTGTAGTGAAGCATGTCCAGGGATGCCCACACCAATAAGCTTAACTTGCTCCCATAAGAGACGTTAGCCCTAGGGGAAATTTTGGAGAAAAAGTCTGCAGGGTGGTGGCCCATCAGATGGGGCTGTTTTGACCTGAGCTTGCGTTGGTGTGCTGGCCTCTCCTGCGACCCCAATTCGGCCCTGCATGCTTGCAGTGCAGCCTTGAGTACCCTGGGGGCCTGCATCATAGATCCTGAACTGGCAGATCATGTCTGACTAGTAGACAGCTCCAGTGGGGTGACCCCATCCAGGCATCAGCCTGCCTGCTCTCTCTCCTCACTGCAGCTTCCCCCCAAGGCCCATTGCCACCCCACACATCACTATGCTGGTGTGTGTGTGTGTGTGTGTGTGTGCATGGAAGGATCTTGCTTTCCCTGCCCTGTCAGTGCACATGTGCATATGCATTCTGCCCTGGCACTGCTGTTGGTAGGAGTGTACTCCAGGCCCCCTCTCCTGCTATACCACCACTGCAGACAGAATCTTGGGGGAAACAGAGACCATCAGCCCCACAACACCAGCACCGTCCTCCTTTGTCAACACTGTCATTTGAGTACAACTAAGCACAAAAAACAGCATACTCTCCTCAGCCCTGAGCAGCCACCTTCGCCTACATGAATACACACAAAACCACTCGACTGAGACAACCTTATAACACAATTAAACCCTTAAGGTCATCAAGCAGAATAAAAGGAAAAATCCAAAAGTTGACAACTTCAAATATTAAAGAAATATCACCCCAGAAAGATAAGAAAGAACAAGCACAAAACCTCTGACAACTCAAAAAACCTGAGTTCCTCTTTTCCTTCAAATGGCCACACTACCTCTCCAGTAAGTTTATAAATCAGTCCAAGATAGCTAAAATTACAGAAATCAAATTCAGAATATGAATAGAAATAAAGATCATTAAAATGCAGAAGTAACTTGAAACTCAATTCAAAAACGTTAAGAATCATAATGAAATGATACAGGAGCTGAGAGACAAAAGAGCCAGTATTAAGAGCATAACTAACCTGAGAGAGCTAAAAATATCACACTAAATTTTTTTATAAGAAATTCACAACTATTAATAGTAGAATAGACAAAGCTAAGAAAGAATCTCAAAGTTTGAAGACTGTTTATGTGAAGTCAGACATACAGACAGAAATAAAAAAGAGTAATAAAAACCCCCAAGCCTCTGAAAAATATAAGATTATGTAAAGAGACCAAAGGTATGACCCACTGGTGTTCATGAAACAGGTGGGGAGAATGGAAGCCATTTGAAAAACATATTTTAGGATATCATTCATGAGAACTTCCCCAACCTGGGGAATGCTGGCTAGAGAGGCCAGCATTCAAATTTAGGAAATGCAGAAAACTCCAGTAAGATACTTCACAATATAATAATCACCAAAACACATAGTTATCAGATTGTTCAAGCATGAAATAAAAGAAAAAATGACAAATGCAGCTAGAGAGGAAAGGGAGGTCAACCACAAAGGAAAGATTATCAGTGTAAAAGTACACCTTTTAGCAGAAATCCTACAAGCCAGAAGAGACCAATACCAATATTTAACCTCCTTGAAGAAAATAAATTCCAATCAACAATCTCGTATTTGGCCAAACTAAGCTTCATAAGTAAAGGAGAAATAAAGTTCTTTTTAAACAGGCAAATGCTGAGGAAATTCATTACTACAAGACATGCCTTACAAGAGCTCCTGAAGGAAGAACTAAATATAGGTGAAAAAAACCTTTATTAGCCACTAAAAAAACACACTGAGGTATACAGACCAGTTGCGCACAAACAAGTCTGCATAATAAGCAGCTACCATTATAATGGCAGCATCAAATGCACACATATCAACACTAACTATGAATGTAAATGGGCTGAATGTTCCAATTAAAAGGCAAACAGTGGGAAACTGGATAAAGAACAAAGAACCAATGATATGCTGTCATCAAGACTCATTTCACATGCAATCAGTTTCATAGGCTGAAAATGACGGGATAAAAATCTACCAAGCAAATGGAAAACAGCAGAAAGAATGGGTTGCAACCCTAAGTTTAGACAAACAGACTTTAAAACAACAAAGATTTAAAAAGGCAAAAAGGCATTACAAAATGCTAAAGGGTTAAATTCAACAAGAATATATGTATTCATATTTAAATATATACATTTTAAATATATACACACCCAACACAGGAACACCCAAATTCATAAAGCAAGTTCTTAGAGGTCTTTAAAAAGACTTAGATTCCTACACAATTATAGTGAAAAACTTCAACAACCCATTGACAATATTAGATTATTAAGGCAGAAAATTAACAAGATATTCAAGATCTGAATGCAGCACTGGATCAAATGGATGTAACAGACACTTTCAGAACTCTCCACCAAAAACAACAACATATACGTTCTCATTGCCACATGGCACATACTCTAAAATCAACCACTTAATCGACATAAAACTGTTCTCAGAAATTATAAAAGAATTCAAATTATGACAACCACTCTCCGAGACCAGAGTACAGTAAAATTGGAGGTAAAAGTTGAGAAAACCAATACTCAATACCATATGATTACATAAAAATTAAATAACTCACTCCTGAATGACTTTTGTGTGAATAATGAAATTAAGGCATCAATCAAAAAGTTATTTGAAAGTAATGAGAACAAAGACACAACCTACCAGAATCCCTGAGATGCAACTAAATCAGTGTTGAGAAAAAAACTGATGTTGCTGAACACCCACCACAAAAAGTAACAAAGATCTCAATTTAACCACTCAATATCACAACTAAAACATCTAGAGAATGAAGAGCTATCCAACCCCAAAGCTGGAAGAAGACAGAAATAACCAAAATCAGAGATAAACTGAGATTAGGACACACACAAAAAAACTAAAAGATTAATGAATCCAGGAGTAGGTTTTGTTTTAAATGTGGACTACTAGCTAGACTAATATAGAGGAAAAGAGAGAAGATCCAAACAAAGACAATCAGAAACAACAAACGGGATATTACCACTGGCTCCTCAGAAATAGAAATAAACATCGGAGAATATGATGAACACCTTTATGCAAAAAAACTACAACACCTAGAACAAATAGATAAATTCCTGGACATGTACACCTTTCCAAGACTGAACCAGGAAGAAATTGAATCCCTGAACAGACCAATAACATGCTCCAAAATTGAATCTGTAATAAATAGACTATCAATTTTAAAAAGCCCAGGAAAAGACGAATTCCCAGCCAAATTCTACTGGATATGCAAAGAAGAATTTGGTATCATTCCTACTGAAACTCCCAAAAATTTGAGGAGGATCATCTTCCTCACTCATCCTATGAGGCCAGCACCCTTCTGATATCAAAACCTGGAAGAAAAGCAAAAGAAAGAAAAATTTCATATCTTTGATGAATATTGATGCAAAAATTCTCCATAAAATACTGGCAAACCAAATCCAGCAGCACACCAAAAAGCCTATCCACCACAATCAAGTAGGCTTTTTCCCTGGGATGCAAGGTTGGTTCAACATATGCAAATCAATAAATGTGATTCATAATACAAACAGAACGAAAGACAAAAACCTCATGATTATTGTAATAGATGCAGAAAGAGCTTTCATTAAAATTCAAAACCACTTTATGTTAAAACTCTCCATATACTAGGTATTGAGGAAACATGCTTTGAAATAATAAAAGTCATCTATGACAAACCCACAGCCAACTTTATACTGAATGGGTGAAACTGGAAGCATTTTTCTTGGAAACTGGCACAAGACAAAGATGCCCTCTCTTACCAGCCCTGTTCAACATAGTATTGAAAATCCTGGCCAGAGCAATCAGACAAGAGAAAAAAATAAAGGCATTCAAATAAGAGGAGAGGAAGTCAAACTACCCATTTGCAGATTGTATTAGTCAGTGTTCTGTGTTTATGGATTGGAAGAATCAATATTAAAATGTCCATGCTACACAAAGCAAGCTACAGATTCAACGCAATTTCTGTAAAAATACCATTGACATTCCTCACACAAATAAATACAACAGCTCTAAAAAATCTTAAATTTATATATAATCACAAAAGACCTAGAATAGCTAAAGCTATCCTGAGCAAAAAGAATAAAACTGGAGGAATCCCATTACATAGCATACATTATTACATTACACAAAATTATACTACCGATGTGTAGTAACCAAAACAGCATAGTACTGGCATAAAAACAGACACACAGGAAAATGGAGCAGAATAGAGAACCCAGAACCAAACCATCCATCTACAGTGAACTCATTTTTTACATAGGCACCAAGAAAATATATTAAGAATAAAAACTCAGTCTCTTCAATAAACAGTGATGGTAAATCTGGATATCCATATGCAGAGGAATAAAACTAGACCTCTATCTTTTGCCATGTGCAAAAACTAAATCAAAATGGATTAAATATTTAAATGTAAAACTGCAAACTATGAAACTTCTGAAAGAAAACATTGGGGAAATTCTAAAAAACCTTGGATTAAGCAAAGATTTCTTGAGTAACACCTCACAAGCACAGGCAACCAAAGCAAAATGGAAAATTGGTATCACACCAAGTTATAAAATTTTGCATGGCACAGAAAAGAATCAACAAAGTGAGAAAACAACCCACAGAATGAAAGAAAATATTTTCAAACTACCTATCTGAAAATGGATTTGTAACCAAAACATAGAAGGCGCTCAAATAACTCTATAGAAAATAAAATCTAATAATCCTATTTTAAAAAATAGGCAAAATATGTAAACAGACATTACTCCAATAAAGACACGCAAATGGCAAATAGGTATATGAAAAGATGATCAACATCATGAATCATCAGAGAAATGCAAATCAAAATTACAATGAGCTATTACCTCACCCCAGTTAAAGTGGGTTTTAGCTAAAAGGCAATAACAAATGCTGACAAGCATGCGGAGAAAAGGGAACCCTCATATGCTGTTGGTGGGAATGTAAGTTGGTGGAACCACTATGGAGAACAGCTTGAAGATTCATCAGAAAACTAAAAATAGAGCTTCTGTACAATCCAGCAATTTCACTGTTAGGTATATATCCAAAAGAGAGAAAAATCTGTGTATTGAAGTGATAGCTGTACTCCTGTGTTTACTGCAACACTATTCACAATAGCCAAGATTTGGAAGTAACATTGGTGTTTATCGACAGATGAATAAACAAAAAAGTGGTACATATACACAATGTAGTACTATTCAGACATAAAAATGAATGAGATTCAGTCATTTGTAAAAACATGGGTTAAACTGAAGGTCATTTTATTAAGTGAAATAAGCCAGGTATAGAAAGACAAACTTCACACGTTCTCACTTATTTGTTAAAGCTAAAAATTAAAACCAAAGAATTAATGGAGATAAAGAGTAGAATGATGGTCTCCAGAGGCTGAGAGAAGTAGTAGAAGGTTGAGGGCGGGGAGGTGGGAATGGTTAATGGGTATAAAAATATAGTTAGAAAGAATGAATCAGTTCTAGCATTTGACAGCACAAGGTGACTCTAGTTAAGAATAATTTAAGTGTACATTTTAAAATAACAGAAATTGTATAATTTGGTTATTTGAAATCCAATAGTAATACTGCATGTGATGAATACCCCATTGACTCTGATGTAATTATTACACATTGTATGACGGTATCAAAATATTCTATATACTTCATAAAGGTATACACCTACTATGCACCCAGAAAAACCAAAAATCAAAAAATTAGGATATACTTTAAGACAACAAATACTATTACTAGAGATGAAGATAGATTATAATTAGAAGGATAAATTCATGAGGAAAATAAATTAACATATATGAATGTGACAAAAGTTCACAGAAGTACATAAAGCAAAACTGATAGAAATAAAGGCAGAAATAGTTGCAACGATAGTTTCAACAATAAAAATTGCAAGCTTCACTTCCCCACTTACACTATTGGGTAGAAGAACTAGACATAAGAGAAACAAGGAAATAGAAGACATGAATAACATAAACCAAATAAAACTAGAGATATATGGAGAACTCTTCACCCCAAATCAGAATATATATTCTTCCCACATGCACATAGAACATTCTCTAGAATGGAGAATATGCTGCATCATAAAAAAAATCAATAAAATTGAAAGATTGAAATAATAAAATGAATGTTTTCTAATCACAAAAGAGAAAATTAGAGACCAAAAAAGCAAGAAATTTGGGAAATGCAAACATGTGTGCATTAAATGACACAATCTTAAATAATTAATGAATAAAAAATGTACAAATAGTGTCAGAGAATATTTTAACATAAATAGACATTTAGACAAAACATAATAAAATTTATGAGACTTAGTGAAAGTTGAGCTCTGAGGGAAACAGCAGAATTACTTTATAAAAAACAAAGAAATCTTAAATTAATAGCTTAACGCTTATGGAAGCATTTAAATAAAAATGAACTACCCAGTTCACCTGGAGCAAACACTATCAGTGGGGTAAAAAGGTAGTCACGCTGACAATCGTAGGAGGAAATACTTGGAAACAAGACACTGAGAATTAGGATAGTGATAGTACTCCTTGGAATCTAGAAAAAAATGGGGATGCTCTAGGCTAGACAGATTCTCAGGAAAAACGCTAAAACACTAAGCTCCCACCTGTTTGTCTTTTAATCTCTGCATGAACAGAAAGTATAGGCACAAGCAGAGTTAGGACTTTATGGCACACATAGAGATTCTAGATGAAAGGATCAGAAGATTCATATTTTGAGAGGGCTAAAATATCTACAGTCTTGCTGTCCTATTAAAGTTTAGTGAAACTATATTGCAGATTCGCATTGCTCACTTCTTCCAGTAATCCAGTGATCTAGTAAAGCTTGATTTTGCCATTTGAATCCTCTGATAAATGAAGTCAGCCTCTAACTTGAGGTACTTTTTGGGATGTTGGAGTTATGGTCACCATGACGTTACTATTGGTTACACTAATTTGTAAGTCAACAATGAGCTTGCTACAGAGCTGTGAAACTGAATTCTGACCCCTGAGGGAGGTCGTTAGCTTGATCTTTCTGTTTTTAGATGGGTCGATTTGAACTCTATGAAAAAGACCACAGGAGGCCACTTGGTAAATAGAAATAACATATTCTAGAAGGAAATTAGACTAAAATAGAAACGGCACTAAAGTAAAAATTAAAATTCATATTCGGTAGAAATTTTATGCCACCCTCCACTATCTCAAGCAAACTTTCTGACTCTGTGGGACTCCCCAATTTACTGAATATTTTCTAAATATCTGTTCCTGGTTCACTAATGGGCCAGGGAAGATGACACCTCATGGTGTTCACTGGGCTGGTGTGGGTGTTTGATCTCATTGTCAGCCAATGAAGAACCTGAATCTGGGGTGATTACTTCACTCAATTGTCAGAACTGAGAGTTCCGGGTTATTGCCACATTCTACGTGTTTAGGCTTCCATATTGAAAATGATTAACTGTCTAATTAAGAACATCTTCTTTGGGGCTGCAAACTGAAATTTATCTTAGCTGCTGATCTAATTGTCAGGCCATTAATTTAGAAGTTCACAATTAGGGTTATGTCTCCAAAGAGATGAACAACAATCAAGCCTAAATCCCTGTCTACTGCAGAGGTCATCACTGCATGCCAGGTTGGTGGTTCTTGGAGAAAGTTGATCTACGTGTCCCATGTATGGGGAAGTCCCAGACCATTTCTGGCAGAATGACTGTCTTAGACTTTTGACCCGTTACTTGAAGTATTTGTCACTACTGTTGACACTTTCAGCATAAAGATCAGCTGACTCCAGCCACATTATGTGTTACTTGAAGCTAATCCATGTCATCTTTTAGGTATTTGAGACCGCTTAAATTCTCTCTCTTTTTTTTTTTTTTGCTTTTATCACCATATCTATTAAAATGAGCCAATAGTCTCATTTTAACTTATTTTCCTCATCAGGGTCCACAGCTTTTGGTTAGGTAATGTGTTGATTAAATGGTTTATTAGTCACCTTCTTTGGTCCCAGAAGAGATTATCTCCTGTTGACTGTCTCTAAGATATAGATAACATTGTTATTGAGTAAAAGGAGCTCACTTCTTGAAGTGCTAGAAGCCAATACTATGACATCAGGTTTTTAAGAGAAAGCAATTTTATACTGAAACGTTACTCTCAAGCTCATTGCCTCCTCATGGATGTCATAGGCAAACTGAAGGGGAGTTGTGATGAAACAGGCAGTGAAAATTCAGACGGTGACCTCAGCAAGGTGATTCTGCCAAAACACCATTTGGCCATAATGATTCCACCAATTTAAGCCAGTTTGTTTATTTCATAAGTAGAGGGAGTTTCAGTGTTTTGGCAAGTTGTGTTTTTGTTTTTTTTTTCTTTTCTGTTATTCTGCAAGCTCAAGATTTTCTGTTAGATACTGGCTTTCTTTTAACTCTGCAGAAGTGTTGCAAAATGATTGGGGCTATAGGAATCTATTTTCCAAATCTGAGTTTCCACACTGACATTCCTGGGCAAGATGTGATTTCTCCTAACTGCAACCTCCAGGCAGCCTGGTTTGTATGATTTCTGAGTAGCAGCCCAGTCAAAAAAGGGGTTATGGAACTCCAATTTAGTTCTGATTATGGTGTATATAAACATTCTTGTCTCTATTACAACTGGATCTACTACATAAAATGTCTACAGCAAAATAGGAGGGGATCAGATAAAGGTACAATTATAAGTATTGGAATGGATCACATTAATTCTGAGGATATAGAAGGGGAGCAACAACCTGAAACCAGGGGAGTGAACGACTTAGATCTCAGGAGCTATGGGAAATGGATAGGCATGAATAACCTCTTTTCCTTCTGAATTGCCCCTGGCACACTCCAGAAAAGTCTGGCAATAATTTTGGGATAGGATGAGAGTAGGGTTAGTTAGACCAGGTGGAAGTGCAAAGACTAAGTTTATTTTTTCCATTCCATCCCCCATATCACCCTTAAGAATCCTTTGGGCTGGGCACAGCAGCTCACACCCAGCACTTTAGGTGACCAAGGAGGGTGGATAACGAGGTCAGGAAATCGAGACCATCTGGCCAACATGGTGGAACCCAGTCTGTACTAAAAATATAAAAATTACCCAGGCAAGGTGGCACATGCCTGTAGTCCCAGCTATTTGGGAGGCTGAGGCAGGAGAATTGCTTCAACCTGAGAGACCAAGGTTGCTGTGAGCTGAGATGATGCCACTGCACTCCATCTTGGATGACAGAGGAAGACTCCATCTCAAAAAAAAAAAATCCTTTGTAATTATCCCATTTCTCTGCAATGTAGTAATGAAATTCTAGTGAGGAGCATGCGTTCTCAGTGCCCAGTTGTCTGAGGCCACAGTTGAGTTGCTTCAGGGAAAAAACAAACAAAAAAAAAAACCAAAACGAAAACACAAAAGCAAAAGCAAAAACAAAAACAAAAAACCCTATTGCTTTTGTTTTTTTCTAAAAAGATTAAATGCCCCATGGTTTAAAATAAGCTGGCTCTACAAAACATTGAATTCATCTTTTATTTTCTCTGTGAGCAGAGGCTCCTCCTTCTGTTTTTCTACCATCTAGAGATGAATCTATATTTGTCAATATTGACATAAATTGGAGACATAAATCATGTAAGAACCCTAGACAAGCCTTCAAAATAATCTGAGTCTTGCTCGTTTCTCTTCTCAATTATGTTGTCAGAGAGAGCTACCTGAGATGAAGTCTCTCAGGAATAGTTAGAACATTGCACTTCTAGAGAAGATGGTGAGACAGGGCAAGACTCACAGTGAGAATAAAAGCTTCTTCTCAATCTTTCAGTGTATCTGTTTCTGGTAGATGAATCCAGAAAAGATTCCAGAGCCAGGGAAGAGCTATTTGAGAGGGTAGAATCACTGTAGATCAGAGTACTAGGTCATATGTTTATTAGTCACCTTCTTTGGTCATATTCTCAGTGCTAAGCCTCTGATAGGGCTTCAGAGCAATGTATGCCTGTGAAAATCTCTAATTCCATTTGAAAGATGAAGTTCTGGCTCTGGGAGAAGTCTCCTATCTGACAGAACATCATGCTTCTGTGGGCATGAGATTCTGTGCCCTTCCTCAGCAGACACCACTGACTCAATAATTGTTTAAGAATCATGCATAAATAGGCCTTCCTTATCATGAATCTCTTAAATAACAAAACAGAGAAAACCCATTTATCCACGTTCAAATTGAATAAGAGTGTAAGAAACTTCACAGAAATTGTTATAGAAGGAAACTCTTGGGCTCTGTCCATCCCCAGAAATCTCAAAATTCTGGCACAATCTGTTACAATTAACCTTATCAGAGCTTGAATTTTTTTTTTGCTATATATATTTACCTTTAATTGGACCTTAATTTTGTTATATGTTTTAATTTAATTTTATTTTTTTGATGGAGTCTTGCTGTGTCTCCGAGGCTGTAGTGCACTGGTGTGATCTCAGCTCACTGAAAGCTCCACCTCCTGGGTTCACACCTTTTTCCTGCCTCAGCTTCCCTAGTAGCGGGGACTACAGGCGCCCGCCACCACACCCAGCAATGTTTTTGGACTTTTACTAGAGACGGGGTTTCACCGTATTAGCCAGGATGGTCTCGATCTCCTGACCTTGTGATCCGCCTGCCTTGACATCCCAAAGTGCTTGGATTACAGGCTTGAGCCATCATGCCCGGCCAAGGATAAACCATTGTTTAACCTTTGTGATAGAAACATCAAATTCCCATATCCCAAGCATTAATAATACTGTCCACTGCAATTGTTATTGCTTATTAACTTTTTGCTATGGTCTGGATATTTGTGTTCCTCACTCTCCACATTCATATTTAAAAACTTAATCCACACGTGGATTCAGTGTGATACTATTAGTTATTGGAACTTTGAGAAAGTTATTAAGTCAGGAGGGCTGCATGTTAACGAGAAAATAATAGTGCCCGTGTGACGGAGGTTGAAAGGAATATTCATGCCCCTTCTGTCGTGTGAAGACATAGCTAGAAGGTGCTACTTGTGAGGAACAGAACCTCAAAGAAAGAGCCTCAGAAAGTTGTTATACAGCAGAACATCTTTCTCTCTTGAGAGATTCTGGCCAACAGTGCTGTATGGTCGACTGTCTTTAGAATGTGAGTTTTTGGTTACCAGAATACTTAGTACTGTTAGGGCCTTTCACCAAAGAAATGAGGTCACTTCTTGAAGGTATTATTCTTCTTTCAATAAGACCTATCTTCCTTCAATAAGACCTACTCAAAGGCTTTTCTGCACTGCTGACTGCTCACCATTCTCTCCCAAGTCATCTGATTACTTGTGCACAATTATGCAAATACAGCACCTCCTGCACCAGTCCCGGAGGAAATGGAATGCAGCCAGAGCCGCAAGTTTGAGGATACAAGCTGAGTTAAAGTCTTTATGTTTAATGTATTAATTCTGTGATGCCAAGTATGTCATTGTGCCTCTCAGGGGCTCCATAGTCTCACAGCCTGCACAGTGGGGATTATGGTGGCATCCAGCTGCAAGGGATCTCATGAGATATGTATAAAATGATACGCATGACTGTTGGGTTTGATATTAAACACAGCTACTGCATAAACTTAGAGAAAGAAACTACAAGGGATGGGACATTGCTTGAATATCTCTCAAACATGCCTGGGTTTTATAACTTGAATCTTGAGAAAGTCATGTCCCCTCTTGAATTTATTTTTCAAACTCCACCATGAAAACATTGAAATTGAATAAAATTTAGATGTTGTTATTCTTTGGCCAGAACAACAACAATAACAACAACACACATTGTAGTACCTTCTCGTTATATTTAGAATCAGGCCCATTTGTCTCACCTTGGCATACATAGTGCACAGCCTTCATGATGGCTCATAATAATTTTTATTTCCAACTATACACACCCAAATGTAAACAGTAAGTGGTTAGTGACTCACTTCATGGCAGTAGAATACATTGGAAAATAGGGAATGTCACTTCCAATATTTGATTATGAAAAGATTGTCACTTGCTTCTTACTTTCTCTCTCTTGTGATATTGTTTACTTCCTTTTTTCCTGTCTTTCTCTCTGTCTGTCGCATACTTTGCTCTGGAGAAGCGAGCTTCAGTGTTTTAAGCTTTCATTTTTACAGGCTTGTGTGACAGAGAATGGAGAGAGTGCCCTGACCAAAGACAGAAAGAAACTAAGAACTGAGTCAAAACAATAATGCACAACTAACCAGATTGAGCTCAGAAGTGCATCCTTCCCAGTCAAGCTTCAGTTGAGACACAGCTTCAGTCTCATGAGTGAGAGGTGACAGCATGCTGGCAGCCCTCACAGCCCTCGCTCACTCTTGGTGCCTCCTCAGCCTTGGGGCCCACTCTGGCCGCGCTTGAGGAGCCCTTCAGCTCACCGCTGCACTGTGGGAGCCCCTTTCTCAGCAGGCCAATGCCGGAGCCGGCTCCCTTATCTTGCGGGGAGTGGGCAGGAACCGAGGCTGCCCGCGGTGCTTCCGGGCCAACGCGAGTTCCGGGTGGGCGTGGGCTTGGTGGCCCCGCACTTGGAGCGGCCAGCTGGCCCTGCCAGCCCCAGGCAGTGAGGGGCTTAGCACCTGGGCCAGCAGCTGCTGTGCTCGACTTCTCGCCAGGCCTTAGCTGCCTCCCCACGGGGCAGGGCTCGGGAACTGCAGCCCGCCTTGCCTGAGCCTCTCCCCCACTCCGGCCAAGGGCTCCTGTGCGGCCCGAGCCTCCCCAACGAGCTCCACCCCCTGTTCCATGGCACCCAGTCCCATCAACAACCCAAGGGCTGAGGAGTTCGGGAGCACAGCGTGTGACTGGCAGGCAGGCAGCTCCACCTGCGGCCCTGGTGTGGGATCCACTGGGTGAAGCCAGCTGGGCTCCTGAGTCTGGTGGGGACTTGGAGAAAATTTATGTCTAGATAAGGGATTGTAAATACACCAATCGACACTTTGTATCTAGCTCAAGGTTTATAAACACACAAATCAGCACCCTGTGTCTAGCTCAGGGTTTGTACATACACCAATCAACACTCTGTATCTAGCTAATCTAGTAGAGACGTGGTGAACTTTTGTGTCTAGCTCAAGGATTGTAAATGCATCAATCAGCACCCTGTGAAAAGGGACCAATCAGCTCTCTGTAAAACAGACCAATTGGCTCTCTGTAAAATGGACCAATCAGCAGGATGTGGGTGGGGCCAGATAAGAGAATAAAAGCAGCTGCCTGATCCAGCAGTGGCAACCCTCTCGGGTCCCCATCCACACTGTGGAAGCTTTGTTCTTTTGCTCTTTGCAATAAATCCTGCTGCTGCTCACTCTTTGGGTCCACACTGCCTTTATGAGCTGTAACACTCACCACAAAGGTCTGCAGCTTCACTCCTGAGCCAGAAAGACCACGAACCCACCAGAAGAAAGAAACTCCAAACACATGCTGACATTAGAAGGGAAAAACTCCAGGCACGCTGCCTTTAAGAACTGTAACACTCACCGTGAGGGTCCGCGGCTTCATTCTTGAAGTCAGTGAGACCAAGAACCCACCAATTCCGGACACATGAGGACATTGTGGTAGACCCATTCAACTAAGCTGTGTCAGTATTTGTAGCCAACAGAAAATAAGACATAATGCATATTTGGAATTTTAAGCCACTACACATTGAGCTAATGAGTAGAATTATTTTTTCTAATTTTATTTACTGATTGCCCCCAGTTACTGTATAAAAGTGCAATTTAATATTGTGCATTTATCTTGTATCTTGTGACCTGCTGAACTCATTTATTAGTTCCAGTTGATTTTTGTAAACTCTTTAAAAATTCTTGAATATAAGTTGATGCCATTTACAATAAAAGTTTATTTTATAAATTTAGAAGTTTTATTTGTTTTTATTATATAATTTCTCTGCCTAACACCTTTAGTTCAATTTAGTAGAGTAGCGAAAGTAGCCATGCTTATCTGTTTCCCACAACTGTGAGGCAAAGAGCCTAGTCTTTCATCAGCAAGTGTAATATTAGTGGGAAATTTTCATGAATCTTTTTTAGTAGTTCCAGTAAGTTTTTCCTTCCTAGTATGTTAAGGATTTTATAATGAATCAGTGTTGTTTGTATCACAAGCTTTTCTGTGTCTATTAAAAGGATCATTTTATGTTCTTCACTTTATCAATGTTGTGTATTAAATTATTGGTTTTTAGATATTAAGCCACTTCATTTGTAAAAAGATTGTACTTGGCCATGGTGTATAATTACTTTTACGTGTTTCTGTATTTAACTTATTAGTACTTTTTGAGAATTATGTGTCTTTATTTATCAGCCGTATGTACCCATATTAATCCTAACACATGATGGGTTTGTCTGGCTTTGGTATAGTAATATTGGCCTCATAAAGTAGTTAGGGGTTGTTTATCTCTTATCTATGTATGGTGTGTATTTGTAAAGGATTGGTATTTTTATGAAATATTTTGTATAATTTAACAGTTAAAGTATTTGACTCTCATTTTTCTTTGTGGTAAGATTTTTAAAATAATTTAATCTTTCATTATAGGTCTCATATCTTCCACTTCTTGAGCTTCATTTGTTAAATTGGGCCTATCAAGTTATTTACTTCTAATTTGTAACAATCCATGTTTCCAGATCTAAGCAGCTGGTATGCCTGTTATGTGGGATAATGTAGCTTTGTGAAAGTTTTATGTATTACGTGGGATAATGTAGCTTTGTTAAAATCAATAAATAGCCAAGTTTTTCCTCAGCTTAAGGATTGAGACTATAATTTTTATACTTCATACTTGCATGTATTGCCTGAGTCAAAAAAGCTATTACATCTAAAAGAAACCAGTGAAACATATCATTTGACATGAAGTTTTATCAAAATGACACATTAGCCTAACCCCTTTTTCACAAATATTTAGAAAAGAAAAGAATAAATTTAAATAAGATTACAAAATAATTTAGTAAATAAAGAATATTATAAGGAATAAAAATTTAATGAATCAGGGTTATTAGTACTTAGTAGCCCCTACAATGTTTTAGAAATTATTCTAAGTCATTTACCCACATATACTTAATAGCTGACTCTAAAATATATAATACAGAAATTTGTTAATAATGACAAATTGAAATATTTACAATTATATTAAATGACATTAAGACCATCAGAAATCAAATGTTTAACATACAGTAACTAAATAAACACAAGTAATGATAAATAACTTTATTAGAAAGTATGACTACTAGCAAGAGAGAAAAATTAATAAAATTTTTCAGCAGTGAACCAAAGATACACACTGTATGACAGAGGGGGAAAATAAATGGCAAGAGTTTAGGCCTAACAATATCATTCATTTCATGAGAGCAGAAATTCAACAGGTCATATCTTTTAGGACACTAAAATGACAGTAGAAATTCTAAATTGTACTCAACAAGTAATATTTAGCCATGCACAAATTTTGTTTCATTAAATTAATTTATAAAATAAATATAAGATTCCATGAATTATTTTTGTGAGGCCAAGGACATACTAAAAGGAAGCACAGAGTTCTGTTCTCTGTAGTTAAGTATATATTTTCATAAAGGCACATAAAAGAAAATTTTAAGTATCAAAAGAACTACCCCTTACAAGTGACTATTACTACATATTTGAGAGAGATGTTTTGAATGAAGAAACGGAATATCTCATAATATGTGGTTGTATGCTGCCCAATGCCTATGAAATATTCTACTCATGTGTACACTGCATATTTGTGCTTTCAGAAGAAAAGGCTACATATTTTTAAATATTTTAGTGTAGACAAGTAAAAGTTCTCAAGAAGCTACAAGAACTATGAAAATAATGAATACAGTTTAAAAATATATAAGCACTTGATGAAAGCTAAAGTAAATCAAGAGAATAAGCCAGAGAAGTAATCAAACTGAAAAAAAGTGGTCCCTTCAGATACTGATAGATCACAAGGATGTCAAGTCTGTATGCTGTCCACCTTCCTCCAAGGGAAAATGGAATAAGCACAGAAATAACATGACTACAGACATCTCAAATGTGATATTTCCCAAATATTGGAACCAAGTTAAAAACTAAAGAACACAAGTAAATAAAAATAAATTTCTGAAGAAAAACTAGGCCACCATTTTCCATATTCAAATATCATATTTGAATCACAGCTCGGTAGAATGTAAAGAATAAAAAAATTAGGACAAGGTATAGGTGAAACACTAAATTAAACAGAGATAAAAAATTACCTGAGTATTGAATAGAATGAATATAACCAAATATAGTAAAGAGAGATGACATATTATAAGATATAGTTTTAACAAGATAAAGGCTGGGATGAGACACTAAACATCTTAATTATTTTATTAGAACAAAAAGTATGAATGAGGCAGAGCAAATAAGGCCAGCCCGATCCAAGATTTGGGAAAAGAAAATCTTTCCCTCCATGGAAGCATCCTCAAGTGTACATTGCAGAGGGCCCAGATCAGAGAGGAATGAGAAGTGATTGCCATTCTTGCAATCAGTGTTATGCGTTTTCTTGCAGCCCAGGTTTATATAACTGTTGTAAGTCCAGTAAATTGTCTATAGCTGCACATCTATTAAGAGGCTGAGACAGCAGTCAGGACCAACTTTGCTAAATGTCCACAAACTACTCTACCTCATGGAAATTCTCTGGATCTTGGAGACTCTGGAGAGTGACACTTCTGCAAATAGAGGCATAATTTATTTGAGATTTTTATCCATCTGTTATTATCCTTTACTGTTAGGAATAATCTCCTCTGAAAAATGCTTTTGACCCACCTTGGAAGGTCTTTTAATAGTTTGGGAAAGTGGGGCATGGCAAGGTGGCTCATGCCTGTAATCCCAGCACTTTGGGAGGCTGAGATGGGTGAATCATGAGGTCAGGAGATCCAGACCATCCTGGATAATACGGTGAAACCATGTCTCTACTAAAAATACAAAAAAGTAGTCGGGCGTGGTGGCAGGTGCCTGTAGTCCCAGCTACTTGGGAGGCTGAGGCAAGAGAATGGCATGAACACGGGAGGTGGAGCTTGCAGTGAGCCGAGATAGCTCCACTGCACTCCAGCCTGAGAGACAGAGCAAGACTCCATCTCAAAACAACAACAAAAAAAAAAAATTGGGAAAATGGCTGAGGGCTGAGGTTAGAAATCCAAGGTAAAACATTATGTTATATATTTTACATCATAGAAGAAATTTGAAAACACATAGAATACAATCCGCTATTCATAATTTTTTTTGAGCATTTTCAGGCTATGTTTTTGACATAGACTAAGTTGAATTACTGTGCCAGAGACAATCTCGTCTCTAAAAGCAAATGACATAAAAATAGATCTGCAAAGATACATTTTCTCCTGCTGCAATTTAAGTAAACAGCTGAGTACATCTTCAAGTTGTACTTTGAGTTCAGTAAGATAAATCTGTTTTTTAAGACTCCAAATCTAGCACTAACAATGGGTCAAATCCCTGCAACAGACATGAAAATCACAAACAGCTAATGTGTTCCTCATCCTGAAATTCTCGCTGCCAGCACAGCAGTCTGAAGTTGACCTGGGCCAACTGAGCTCAGTTGGGGGGAGTGGAGTCCACCATTACTGAGGCTTTAGTAGACAGTTTTCCCCTGACAGTGCCAAGGAGGCTGGAAGGTCCGGGTTGGGTGCAGCAAAGTGGCTGTGGCAGACTGCTTCTTTAGAGTCCTCCTCATTGGGCAGGGCATATTTGAAGGAAAGGTAACAGCCCTAGTCAGAGGCTTACACAGAAAACCTCCATCTCCCTGGGACAGAGCACATGGGGGAAGGGGAGGCTGTGGGTGCAGCTTCAGTGGATTTCATCATTCCTACCTGCCGGCTCTGAAGAGAGCAGCTGATTTTGACTAGAGGGATTCTGCCAGCATAGTGCACCAGCTCTGCTAAGAGACTGTCTCCTCAAGTGGGTTCCCCGTGACTCCTGACTGGGAGAAACCTCCTAACAGGGGTTGACAGACACCTCATACAAAAGGGCTCCATTTGGCATTGGGCGGGTATCCTCCTGGGATGAAGTTTCCAGAAGAAGGAGAAGGCAGCAATCTTTGCTGTTCTGCAGCCTTTACTGGTGACACCCAGGTGAACAGGGTCTGGATTGGAACTCCAGCAAACTGCACTGGACCTGCAGAAGAACCTTGCTGTTAGAAGAAAAACTAACAAGCAGAAAGCAACAACATCAACATCAACAGAAAGGACCCCCCCAAAAAAAACCCCATCCAAATGTCATCAGCCCCAAAGATTGAAAGTAGATAAATCCATGAAGATGAGGAAAAACCGGCACAAAAATGCCAAAAATTCCAGAAACAAGAATGCCTTTTCTCCTCCAATGATCACAACACCTCTCCAGTAATGACACAAAACTGGATGGAGAATGAGATTGAAGAATTGACAGAAGTAGGCTTCAGAAGGTGGGTAATAATAAACTCCTCTGAGCTAAAGAAGCATGTTCTAACCCAATGCGAAGAAGCTAAGTATCTTGATAAAAGGTTATGGGAACTGCTAACTAGAATAACCAGCTTAGAGAGAAACATAAATGGCCTGATGGAGCTAAACAATGCCTTTAAGTTATATGGGACTATTTGAAAAGACCAAACCTACGATTGATTGGTACACCTCAAAGTGACAGGAAGAATGGATCCAAGCTAGAAAACAAACTTTAGGATATTATCCAGGAGAACTTCCTCAACCTAGCAAGACAGGCCAACATTCAAATTCAGAAAATACAGAGAACATCACTAAGATGCTCCTCGAGAAGAGCAACTCCAAGACACATAATCGCCAGAGTCTCCAAGGTTGAAATGAAGGAAATAATGTTAAGGGCAGACAGAGAGAGAAGTCAGGTTACCTACAAATGGAGGCCCATCAGACTAACAGCAGATCTCTTTGCAGAAACTCTACAAGCCAGAAGAGAGTGGGGGCCAATATTCAACATTTTTAAATAAAATAATTTTCAACTCAGAATTTCATATCCAGCCAAACTAATCTTCAAAAGCAAAGGGGAAATAAAGTCCTTCACAGACAAGCAAATGCTGAGGGATTATGTCACCACCAGGCATGCCTTACAAAAGCTCCTGAAGGAAACACTAAATATGGAAAGGAAAATATGGTTCACCACTGCAAAACCACACCAAAATATAAAGACCAATCGATACTATGAAAAAACTGCATCAACGAATGTGCAAAATAACCAGCTAGCATCATGATAACAGGATCAAATTCACACACAACAATATTAACCATAAATATAAATGGGCTAAATACCTCAATTAAGAGACAGAGCCTGGCAAATTGGTTAAACAGTCAAGACTCTTTGGTGTGCTGTATTCAGGAGACACATCTCACATGCAAAGACACACATAGGCTCAAAATAAAGGGAAGGAGAAATGGCAAATGGAAAGCAAAAAAAGCAACAACAACAAAAAAAAAAGCAAGGTTTCAATCCTAGTTTCTTGTAAAACAGACTTTAAACCAAGATGAAAAAAGACAAAGAAGGGCACTACATAAAGGTTAAGGGATCAATGCAACAAGAAGAGCTAACTATCCTATATATATACCTACCCAACAGAGGAGCACTGAGATTCATAAAACAAGTTCTTAGAGACCTATAAAGAGACGTAGACTCCCACACAATAACACTGGGAAGTTTTAACACCCCACTGCCAATATTAGACAGATCAATGAGACAGAAAATTAACAAGGATATTCAGGGTTTGAAATCAGCTCTGGACTAAGCGGACCTAATAGACAACTACAGAACTCTCCATGCCAGACGAACAGAATATACATTCTTCTCCATGCCACGTAGCACATATTCTAAAATTGACCACATAATTGGAAGCAAAACACTCCTCAACAAATGGAAAAGAATGGCAACCATAACAAACTGTCTCTCAGACCACAGTGCAACCAAATCAGAACTCAGGATTAAGAAACTCACCAAAAACCACATAAATACATGGAAATTGAGCAACCTGCTCCTGAACGACTACTGAGTAAATGACAAAATTAAGAGAGAAATTAAGTTTTTTTGAAACAAATGAGAACAAAGAGACAATGTACCAGAATCTCTTGGACACAGCTAAAGCAGTTTTAAGAGGGGATATGCTAGCACTAAATGCCCACAACAGAAAGCTGGAATGATCTGAAATCGACACCCTAACATCACAATTAAAACAACTAGAGAATCAAGAGGAAACAAATTCAAAAACTAGCTGAAGGAAAGAAACAACTAAGATCAGAGCAGAACTGAAGGAGATAGAGACAAGAAAAACTGTTCAAAATCAATGACTCCACTAGCTGGTTTTTTGAAAAGATTAACAAAAGAGATGGACCACTAGCTAGATTAATAAAGAAGAAAAGAGAGAAGAATCAAATAGACACATTAAAAAATGATAAACAGGATATCACCACTGATTCCACAGAAATAAAAACTACCATGAGAGAATACTATAGACATCTCCACACAAATAAACTAGAAAATATAGAAGAAATGGATACATTTCTGGACACATACACTTTCCCAAGACTAAGCCAGGAAGAAGTTGAACCCCTGAGTAGACCAATAACAAGTTCTGAAATTGAGGCAGTAATTAATAGCCTACCAATAAAAAAACGCTCAGAACCAGATGGATTCACAGCCGAATTTTACCAGAAGCGTAAAGAGCAGCTGGTAACATTTCTTCTTAAACTATTCCAAACAATTGAAAAGGAGGGACTCCTCCCTAATTCATTTTATGAGGTCAGCATCATTCTGATACCAAAATCTCGCAAAGACACAACCGCAACAAAAATTTCAGGCCAATATCCCTGATGAACATCGATGTAAAAATCCTCAATAAAATACTGGCAAACTGAAACCAGCAGCACATCGAAAATGTTATCCACCATGATCACATCAGCTTCATCCCTGGGATTCAAGGCTGGTTCAACGTATGCAAATTAATAAATGTAATCCATCACATAAACAGAACCAATGACAGAAACCACAGGATTTTCTCAATAGATGCACAAAAGGCCTTTGATTAAATTTAATATCGCTTCATGTTAAAACCTCTAAATAAACTACGTATTGACGGAAAAAGTCTCGAAATAATCAGAGCTGTTTATGACAAACCCCTAGCCAATATCATACTTAATAGGCAAGTGCCGGAAGCATTCCCTTTGAAAACCAGCACAAGACTAGGATGTCCTCCCTCAGCACTCCTATTCAAGATAGTATTGGAAGTTCTGGCCAGGGTAATCAGGCAAGTGAAAGAAATAAAGGGTATGCAAATAGGAAGAGAGGAAGTCACACTGGTACCAAAACAGATATATAGACCGATGGAACAGAACAGAGACCTCAGATTGCAGGGATATGGAGGAAGCTGGAAGCCATCATTCTCAGCAAACTAACAGGAACGGAAAACCAAACACCACATGTTCTCACTCATAAGTGAAATTTGAACAATGAAAACACATGGACACAGGGAGGGGAACATCACACATCAGGGCTTGTCAGGGGGCAAAGTGAAGGAGAGCATTAGGACAAATATCTAATATATGTGGGGCTTAAAACCTAGCTGACAGTTTGATAGATGCAGCAAACCACCATGGCAAATATAAAACTATGTAACAAGTCTGCACATTCTGCACATGTATCCCAGAATTTAAAGTATAAATACATAAATAAATCTCCAGCAAGGAAGGAAACCAGAGATCAGGTTAGAGTCTTGCTATTCACATCTGAGTATACAGACTCAGTCCCCAACTCTCTTATTTTTATTCTGCCAGCTCTGACCTGAATATGAACATAACAGACACACAAGAGTTCCAACACCTGACAATCGGCTTCTGCCCAAGAAGAGTGCCCTCTCTTTTGTCCATCCTGCAACTCATGGTACAAAGAAGTGGCGTGGGGCTGCCCAGATGAGATGATGAGAGAGGCCTGGCCTCGATGGACATGTCCTGGGCTGCTCTGTGTTATCTGTAGGTGCACTTGGCCAATGGCCAGGGGTATCAGGAATGAGGGCTGAGTTGATATCTGTGTTATCAGAGAAGGCTTTTACATTGAGGCTTTGTAAGGCTAGAACTCAGAAATATCAAGGCACAATGAAAGGACATCTCACTCTCTTGAGCATCTGTCACCAACAGAGGTGGATACAGAGCTGTCTCAAGAATGTGGGTTCCTGGTTTCTTAACTGCTGTGGGGTTCTGTCACCAGGAAAGTGTGTTAAACTCTTCAAGGTTCCATCTACTGGGCCCCTTATTTCTATAAGACCTACCCAAAGGCCCCACTATGCTATTGATTGCTCAGTCTCCTCTTCCATGTCAACTCTTTATTTGTACACAATTATGCAAACACAACTTCCCCTTAATTCCCTGGAAAGACCTAAATGCATCCTGGGTTCCAGGATATAAGAGACAGCTGGAAAATAACCTTGTTTTTCTTACCATCTCTGGGACCTAATAAAAGTCACTGTGTATTTGAGGCTTCCCCAGCCTCCTAGCGTGCACAGTGGGGATAATGTTATCTACTTCCTAGGGAATGTATCAGATGTATATAAGATAAAATGTAAAAATCGTGGTGTAGTTTCACATGTAAATAATGCACACACTTAGAGATGGAAGCATTAGGAGAATAGGTGGGAGGTAGCATGGGCCACAACTCAGGTAGGCCTGGGGTCCAGCAGTGTAATCTTGGGAAAGTCACTTCCCCACTGGGCTTCAGTTTCATTCTGCTGCAGTACGAGGTTGAAATTAAATGTAGATATCATCCTCTGGCACTGATGTGGTTTAGCTGTGTGTCCCCACCCAAACCTCATTTTGTATTATAACCTCCAGGTGTTAAGGGAGAAACCTGAGGGGAGTTGATTGGATTATGGGGACGGGTTTTTCTTATGCTGTTCTTGTGATAGTGAGTGAGTTCTCAAGAGATCTGATGGTTTCATAAGCTTCTGGTGTATCCCCTGCTCTCACTCACTTCACTTGTTGGCCACCATAATTGGAAGGTTTCTGAGCCTCCCCCACCCAATCTTGTGGAACTGTGAGTCAATTAAACCTCTTTTCTTTATAAATTACCCAGTCCCAGGTATTCCATCATTGCGGTATAAAAATGGACTAATACAACTATTAAACTTTCTAGTGACTTCTTATTATATATAGAATTATATCCATGTGCCTTATCTCACCTAAGTTGGGGAAAGCCTTCACAAAGTCTCCCAGCACTAGGTGGTTAGTGACTCAGTTTGTTATTGAACAAAATGACCTACTGCTCGATGCCAGTAGTATGGCACTTGGGTTTTGAGAAAAATGGCATCTTGTTGTAGGTTGGCCAACAGGAGACAGGAGTCCAGCTGAAATCAGTTTCCTTATATAGGCTTTAAGGTGTTGATTAAAAAATGCTTAAGAAGTGGGCTCTGGATTAGGAGGGGATTGCTGGAAGGAAAGTAGTAATATGGAAAGTCATGAGACATGCACAGTCATCTCCTCTTGTTTCCTCACAGGTCACATGAATATTCAGGGAGAGTTAATATGAAACATGCAACGGAAATTTGGGCTCTAACATCAGCAAACTCATTCTCCATGGACTTCAGTTGGCCATATTGCTTCCAACATATTTCAGCCAATTTTTTAAAATCTTATAAGCAGAGGAGATTTAAGTGTTTCAACAAGCTGTTTCTTATCTTTCATTCTGAATATCCAATTTTTAAGTCTTTTTTTTTTAACAGTTTGAAGGCACAAATTCAGCTTCTGTCAAATGGAATACAGAATAGTGTATGACTTTTGTATTAGTTCAGGCTGCTATACCAAAGAACCATGAACTAGACAGCTTATAGACAACAGGATTTAATTTCTCACACTCCTAGAGGTTGGAAATTTGAGATCAGGGTATCAGCATGGTTGAGCTCTGGTGATGACTCTTCTGAATTTCAGACTGCACACATCAAATTTTATTCTCATTTGGTAGAAGGAGACAGACATCCCTCTGGGGTTTCCTGTATAAAGCCAGTAATCTCAATCATGATGGCCTCAACCTCAGGAGTTAATTACAACCTATCTCCTTATAGCATTACACTGGGGGTTACAATTTTAATACAAATTATTGTAACTCTCAAGTTTTTTTAAAGCTGTCATTATTCCTCCTACTGGGTTTTTCCTATTTGCTTCCTCAGTCTTTCCATTTCTTTATGTCTCTTTGTGTGAAACTGTTTGCCTAATTCTGTCTCTCAATTGTATTCCTCAAACAGAGGAAGCAAGCTCCAATGCTATGAGATGCTCTATGTACAGACGCACATAACAAAGAACGGAGGGAGTGCTCAGGCAGTAGACAGAAGTAAAGTCATGCTCTCAGTCTACCCTGAACCCTGCCAATTTTCACAAGCATGAGCTTAAAGGTTGATGCTTTTCCGGTCCACATTCAGTTGAGACCACAGCCCCAATCTCATAAGAGACCGGAAGGCAGAGGCAGCTAACTAAACTGTGTCCAGATTCTGGTCCACACAAATTGTGAGATACTATATACTATTGAAAGGTGCTAAGTTTTAGGGCAATGTTGTCAGAAAGGAGCAGATATCTAGCCTCATCTCCCAAGCCCCAGGATTCTCCATGCCTCTGCTTATCTCTTCCTCAGGCTGTCTGTACCAAATTGGTCCCTTTCTAATCTCTGCCAAACTCACACCTGTAAGACTCTTCACCAAGGGTGGCTTCTCACTGACACATTCTTGTGCAGAGATGCCTCCCTGTTATCATTCTCATCATGGATTAAAGATCACCTCAGTGAGGACTTTGGGTCCCCCCATTCAATGACTTTGCAGCTCTTCTTCTCAACATTCTACTTTATATAATAGTCCTTGCTCTTTTCTTTTATATATACTTGCTTTAGTGCTTTTGTCGAGCTGACTTCAGACTGTTCTGTCCTTGGAGGGGTATGCAGGCATGATGTAATCATTTTCTGTGCCACATGTTGGACCCACCAGGGTAGCTGGCAAAGGGTGAGTGCAAGGGAAAAAAGATTGGCTAAGTGGGCAATGTGGAAATTGTTGATAATAACATGAGGTGTGTGACTCTTACTTGCTCCAGCTGCTCCAGCAAAGCTCAATAGGCACCAGAAACACAGCAGGCTGTAACCACCTCCAGGCCATCACTAACACTGCAGCCCCATGCAGGAACATTATGGAACAAATCAGGTACCATTGTTTTGTGTCCTCAAGACACTGACTCTTTGGAGTTCCAGAGGACAAAGGAGCAGAATCTGAAGGCTCCAAGTACACTGAGTGACCTTGGAATCCTCCATTGCCCTCTCTTTGCCTCCACCATTTGGAGTGTGCCATTTACTCATGAGGCACCCTCCCCTTATCCAGGGAAATTATTTAATACGACTTTCAAATGAGGAGCTCAAAAACCCAACAGGAACTGGCATTTTCCCATGACTTCAGACTCAGGGTCCAGTGTTCTGACACGTTTAGCTCTATCCCATCTTTATCTACCCAAAATGCCTCTGGAGTGGCCATGCCTCTCTCTGATTTGAAGGGCCTCCAGGGAGTAGAAGCATTTCTGCAGAGTTTCAGAGCAAAGAGTCTTAGTTCACCAATGAAGAATCAAGGCTGGCAGACACTTATGAGTATGTGAAACAATCAAGGTTACCCACTTCGAGCACCCCTATTTATGAGGAAGAAAACAGTCTTCTCTGTAGCCATTGTCTACATTAGGCTGAGGTGGAGCATAGCTCATTTTACTTCCAGCTCTCCACAGAAGTGGATACAGAACCCCAGTCCTGTCCTCTTGAAACCGACCTGGAGAGGACCCCATGTGAGACACAACCCTGGAACTGCTCATTCTCTGTGCCCCTGGATATGTATCTAGGGAAGCGGATGCCCTTGCCTTATGGCAGATCTGCCCGCCCAGCTATTCATTTGTAATACATGGCCTTTAATGCTTTGAAGTGAATTTACTTTACACCTAATTTGTTGAGAGTTTTTATCATAAAGCGATGTTCCTTTTTGGAAAAAAGTTTTATTCGTCTATTTAAATGTTATGTTTGATCCTGGGTCTGTCGTTCTGATCAGAAGCTGACAGGTGCATCCATTCCTAGAGGAGAGCATGAGAACATCAGTTCTCACATTCTGTGATCATGACCTGCTTATAATGTCCACTCTGAGTGTCTGACTCCCTGAAGTAAATTGTGGCCCAGGAACTGTCATCTGTTGTCTTCACTGAATTAGGCCAAGTGTCTGGAAAACTGCGTTATATATATGTGATGAATAAATAAGCCCTAACTACAACCTTTTTAGCTATGTCTGAGTGTGCCTGGGGACTCTTTCCTACAGGATCTCTCTGTTTCAAGGACAAAGTCCAGCTAACAGGAAGCTCAAGTGCCCTTTACAAATGTAAGAACATGTTTGTTTTCTATATGATTGTCCAATTATAGAGGGACATGAGTCACTGTGACATGAAAGACCTTCTGGGGTGAAAGAAGAGAAAAAAGTAATAAATACGAACAATCAGAGCATGCCCCAGCAGGCTTTCCACAAAGCCGAGCATTAGGAAACCACTTTTCATATTGTATGCCATTCATTTCTCACAAAAAACATATAAGGTTGTGGGGGAAAGTTAAATATTAAATTTGAATTCAATTGAACATGGACAAAAGCAATGGTCATTAAGTCTCAGACAGGTTGCATGAGCCGCTTGAAGCATTCATCTGGCACTGTTTTGAAGAAATATCTATTTCAATCTATTCCTATGTGTTAGTTATTGAAAAACCACAGACAATTGCAAAAACAAGATAACCTTTTCCAGTTCCTTGAGCCCAGTTGTGAAGAGCCCTCGTGACTGGGCCTCATGCCAAACAACTCATTACAAAAAGAACTAGGGCTCTAGGCCACGCTGAAACTTCCTAAGACCTCTTCTTGTCTGTGCAGGGATGGGTGACCTACTCTGGAGTCGAGGCTGTTGCTTCCCGGTCTGGTAATGAATCCTCCGCTGTCTGGTGGGCGTAAATATGTATATATGTTTCCCTTCTCCCCTTCCCATTGCAATTTGCTTATTATAGCTGCACTGCCATTTACGTCAGATAAAGCTTGTTTACCCTTAAAGGTTTTTTTGGGTGTGTTTTCTTCTCCCCTTGCATGTCTCTCGTACAGAACAGAGGTTCATTTTACAATTCTCTATAAAGATGCAAATTGAGGCTGATAAAGATGCACTGGTATGCTAAGACACAGTTAGTAGCTGGCAGAGTCACCACTGTGCCTTGGAGAAGACATATGCTCAACTACTAGACAGCTGGTCCAGGAACTACAGAGTGGTGAGGAAGTCCTGGTAAAACTTGAGAAAAATGATAAAAAGAAGAGAGTTTGACCCTGGAAGGCTGCTGTCAGGGACTTCGTCAGCTTCTCCGTTGTGCCTGGTTTGGCGCATTGGCATCATTCACACCTCTAGGTTAAGAATAGACTCATTTCCTCTTGGGGAGGGGACAAGACTTTTCATGGCAAGACCATGAAACACCAGAGGCTTGGAATGTGGAGCTTGGATGAGGAAATCTCCATCCTTCAGAGACTTGGGCATGTGGAGGACATGGGTGTTTATGGTGAAAAAGGTTTTAGGCCTCTGATATCAAATTTAATGTGGAGGTAGAGAATAATTAATCCATGAATACATTCAAGGCCTTCACGATATCATATCAGCTGTAAGACAACAGCACCCACTTGTATTAATAATCTTTATGAAGAGCATTATCCCAGAGAATTCCCAAAAAAACATACTCAGCCTACAAATGAGAAAATAAAGCTTTGTGATGTCAAATGGCTGCTCAGAAAAACACAAGTAAGAAAGAGAATCTTCCACGGTGGGGGTTGCATGAAATTCCCTTTAAGCTACCTGAGGCTCTATGTCTGTCCCTGACTTAGGGGGAAGGGCATGGGGAAGGCTCACTTTCTTTCTGTTTTAGAGACAGGGCACAGGATAAGATACCCTAAGACAACCCTTTTGACTTAAAGCAACTGAACTGGGTCTTTTAAAACCTTAAAGGGAGTGTTGAGAAATAACTACAGCAACCCCACACCTGACAAAGGTGTCAGTGCTTGGGGACTCCAAGGTGAGAGAAACCCCTCACAGGGCCAAGGAATTGAGCGGATTAACTGAGGGAACAGAAAACTCAAATAAGTATAAATCAACTGAAAGGTAACTCAAATATATCAGTTGAAAAATTGAAATAGAAACATGTTTTTTTGCCACATAGATAGCAGATTGACAAAAAAATTAAAAGAATGTTGACAACCAAGAGGTTCTGGATACATAAAAGCAGATAAATTCAGAAACTACTATTTACAGTACGGCTTTCACAACCCTTTTGGAATATATTCCGGCTTCTCCTATTAAACCTTTACACTTTCCTACTGTTTCACTGAGTAATCATTTTCCTGGGAGACTATAATCTACAAGGGATTAGTAAATGTTGTGAGCTAGATTGCATTCCCTTCCTAAAAATTATATGTTCATGTCCTAACACCTAGTGCCTCAGAACATGACTATATTTGAACATATAGCCTCTGCAAATGTAGTTAGGTTTAAGTGAATTAATTGGGGTGTATCCTAATTCCAGATGACTGGAGCCCTTATTAGAAGAGGCAGGAAGGACAGAAAAGCACAAGAGAAGATCTTGTGAACACAGATATAGTAGATGACGATCTACAAGCCAAGGATGGAGACTTCAGAGAAACCACACAGCCAGTAGCTTGAGGTTGGATTTCTAACTTCCAGAATTGTGCGACATTCAGTTTTTGTTGTTAAAGAACTTCAGCCTGTGGTACTGTATTAGGGAAGTCATAGCAAAGCGTTACAGCCTATTAGGACACAGATAAGATGTTCCCTGTAGCGGCTGGGCGCGGTGGCTTACACCTGTAATCCTAGCACTTTGGGAGGCCGAGGCGAGTGGATCACGAGGTCAGGAGATCGAGACCATCCTAGCTAACACGGTGAAACTCTGTCTCTACTAAAAAAAAAACCACACACACACAGAGAAAAAAAATTAGCCGGGCGTGGTGACAGGCGCCTGTAGTCCCAGCTACTCAGGAGGCTGAAGCAGGAAGATGGCGTGAACCCAGGAGGCAGAGTGCAGTGAGCCGAGACTGCACCACTGCACTCCCACCTGGGCGACAGAGCGAGACTCCGTCTCAAAAAAAAAAAAAAAAAAAAAAAAAGATATTCCCTGTAGCATGCCTGAAGTGGAAATAGAATTTATTGTGTCAGGCTCCACCAGTATTAAAAGCCTAAATTACTGAGGGAAAGGCCCCACTTATGGAATCTTATAAAGACATATGAGGACACAGCTCCTGTCCTGATGGGGCTATAGAGGTGGGCTCTGGGACACGTATGTAAAGAGTCATATAAGACCCTTTTGCATAACTCCCACTTTTTGGGTGAAACCTCTCTCTAGTAACAGTGTGAACTTCTAAGACTTAGAGAAGGTCTGGCAAGGCAGCGAAGCTGCCTGCTCCAGGAAGTATGTGGGGTAGGTAGATATAACAATAAAAATAATAGCAAAATGCAAAGATACTCACAACTTAATGTAAAGTAATAACAACACAAAAGTGTTTCTTTTGACATTCCTGCAAGCATATGACCGGGGACTGTGCACCTAAGTTGCCATTATGGACTAATGGAGGCCAAATTCCTCTGGGAAGGAACTGTGGGTCCTTAATGGAGAAAGCCCTAAAACGGTTTCTGGGGAATCCTCACATTTGGGTCAGGGTCCTGGGCTTCCCTGGTCTTTTCCATTTGGAGACCTCTCTGTGCCCACCTTGACTCCAGACTAGCACGGGCCATGGTTGTTGGCATGATGCACCTGCCTTTTGTTCAATGAGATGGAGTAGTTGGACTCATCAAACAGCTCCTCAGGGATCTCCTCAATAGAGTTCTGCAAAGAGAGTGCCTGGAAGCCTGGCCAAGAGGCATCAATGGCATCCTGGCTTTCCCCACAGGGGAAATTCCAGTTAGAAAGTCTACTCCCCAGATCAGGCACATAGGAGCATTTGCGCAGACCTCCAGCCAGGGAGAAAACAAGAGGACAGCTTGAAGCCTTAGAATAAATGTCTGAACAAACAAAGGTGACCCCCAGCACTCACCTTCCCCTCCTGCCAACTGTAACCTGCGGTATAAATTTGACAGGCTTTTAGCCTCCCAATACCTGGAAACCTGCTCCTGTCAAGAAAGGACCCATTATCTCTTTCTTTCCCACGAGACGTGGAGATGAGGAGGGGTGTGTGCCTGCCGAGATGATATCAAAGGTGAGGCCTGGCCTGGATAGGCCTGCCATGGGTGGCCTTGTGTTATCTATGGGTAACCCTTTCCAAATGGCCAGAAGAGCCAGCAGTGCAGAATGAGCACTGTCTCCATCATAAAAAAAAGTCTCTCTGTTCAAGCCTTCCTGAGATGAGAGCCTCAGAAATTCAAGACATAGCAGGAGAACATCTTGCTGTCTTCAGAGTCTCCTTAGTAAATACAAAGCTGTCTCTAGAATTAGGGCTCCAGGTTACCAGAGTTCTAAACTTTCTTTGAGTTTGTAACTAAGGAAGTGAGGTCACTTCGAGATTCCATCACCTGGGCTCCGGTGCGGGAAATGAACGAGGGGAAAAGAAAAGGCACCCACAATAGTTTTAAGGATAAATAGCCTTTATCCCAAGTGTATGGCAATACAGACTTGATAAGCAAATAATATAATAAGCAAATTGCAATGGGAAGGACAGAAAGAAAATATATATATGTATATTTACACGCACCAGACTATGGAGGATTCATTACCAGACTGGGAAGCAACAGCCTGGGCTCCAGAGTCAGCCACGTGTCCATGCACAGATGAGGAGAGGTCTCATGAAACTTCAGCACAGTCTGGGACCCTAGCTCTTTTTGTAATGTGTTGTTTGGCATGAGGCGCAGTCACAGGTGCCCTTCACAACTGGGCTCAAGGAACACAAAAGATCAACTTGTTTTTGCAATTGTCTGTTGTTTTTTCAATAACTAATGTATAGGAATGGATTGAAAGATTTCTCTGAAACAGCGCTGGATGAACACCTCAAGGGGCTCATGCAACCTGTTCCAGGACTTCGTGACCATTGTTTGTGCCCATGTTCAATTGAGTTCATATTAAATATTTAACTTTTCCTCCACATTAGATTCCCAATTCTCAGAACCATGTCCACTGCCACAGGGCCTGGCTGGGAATATTGTCACTCATAGAGTTTAGAAGATGGAATGCTGGTCAGTGATGATGCTAGGGTGTTAGGTGAAGGCAGCCGGGACAGTCCCTCCAGGTTGAGGGAGGAGCTGGCCTCTCTTGTGGGGTCCTTGGCATGTCATTGCCGCTTTGGGCCTCTGTTTTCTTATGTGGAAAATTTAGGAATGATGAGCCTGTTGGGCAGGCCTCACAAGGTGGTGATGGGGCTCAGGGAGACAGAGAATCTGAGGGTGCTTGTGTCTGGCTCATCCTGAGAGGGATGATGGTGACAGCAATCATGACAACCACATGAAACCGAGGTGGTAAGAGGCCTTGTGAGGTAGTTGGTTCCCACCACACTTTCCAGTTGAGGAAACAGCTCAGGGAAACCCAACTGCATGCCCAAAATGACACATCCAGGGAGTGTTGGACGTGGGAGTGAGTCTAGAGTCAGAGCTCACTGGAGATGGTCAGAGCATTGGACAAGCTGACTCAGGCCACTTATCCGTGTCCAAGGTTAGTGTGGCTGAGGCGTAACTGAAAGAAGCATATTTTCACTGACCTTGTCCCTCATCCTAGCAGGTGAACACCGTACAAGTTGTCTACCCTGTAGCGGAGCCCCAGAGAGCTTAGGTGAGGCTGTGACAGCAGAAGGTGAATGTGCCTGTGATGGGGAAGGGCTCCAGGGTTTCAGAGAACAGAGCTTACTTCTCCCAGCTGGAAACCTCCAAATCAAAAAAGCAGAGGGCCTTTCTACTCCAGCCCTTTTCTCCTGGGGCTGCAGTGCCTAAAACACCTTCATTAGACAGACCAGAGCAAGGCCTGGGAGAGCTGGGCTCCGTGTGGCTTTTAAAACAGGTGGAGCCAGGGACCACATGACCTTGTGGCTTGTTAAAATCCCACCAAGGAGGTAATTATGGTGAGGTTGGTGGCAATAGAGGCCAGCTAATGGGAAGACATAGAGAATTGGGAAAAGGCAGCTGAGGGTTCTCAGCTACTCCAAGTGGGTAACCTAGGTAGAGGGCGCCAGGAGGCAGGGGTTTATAAGAGTTCAGCGGACAGGACTTGGGTGGGCACCTCCCAAGTCATGCCCTCTCTGGGGACATTCCTCACTGATGTGGTGATGCTGGACATTGCCATGAAGGAGTGTGTGGATGTGAGTGAGCCTGGAGCAGACAGGTCAGGGACCAGGATCCTGAGGCCTGGGAGAAGAGAGTCTTGAACTGAGCTCCTAGATCTCAGTCCTTGCCAAAATTTTTTGCGAGGGCCTCGCAGCCCTCCCCATCCCGTAAACAGGGTATTTTACTCATGAGTGATGGAGGCTCCACAGCAGCCATCAGTCCCACTCCCTGAGTAGTGAAGCTGCAGAGCTGCAAGACCTCTTTTGTGCACATTCCCTGACCCTGGTGGCTCTGGTGGTGGTGAAGCTTGGAAATCGCTGGAAATGGAGGCTAGTTATGGACCAGCGGACCTTTCTGATGGTCTTTGGCTTTCTGTCTTCCAGAGAAATGTGATCAAAACCCAGAAAAACAGAAAGGTGAGCAGTAGCTGAAGTCCTCACTTTTAGGGAGGGTGGAGGTGGAAATGAGAAATCACCCTGGGCAGGACATTCCCTGGTCCCTTCTTCCGCATCTAAGATTTATTGAAAGGGAGTAATACACAGAGAAGGAGGAGACCTATCCTAATGCAGGGTGCAATCAGGGGAGTGAAGTTGATGACAACTTCCTAGAGGAAGAGCCGTTTACATTCAACTCTGAGAACCAGTTAGGGCTGCATGATATTGGAGGGGAGGTGAGAGCCCCTTAAAAGAAACACCTCAGAGACCAGCCCTCCTCCCTTCTTTTATAAGGCCCCTACAGAGTCTTTCACCCAGGCCCTGTCAGCATCCTGTCTTTCCCTCTGTCTCCAGAAGATTAAAGTCCTCCAGGAGATGCAGCAGTTCCACACAGCTGGAAACCATCATCATCTTCAGACTCAAGAGGAATTTCGGGCTTGGTTCCAAGCCTGGAGCAGCACAATCAGAATAAAAGGCAAAGACCTAGCAGATGAGCAGAGGGTAGGAGGGGAGACTGTCTTGCCGCCAGCCTCACACAGCCTGTGGCCAGGGTTCCCTGGCCAGCATCAGGTCCTGTTGCACCTGGACTCCAGCTGCTGGGGAGGAACTGGGGGACCTGAGGTGTGGCTTCTGGAACCTCACAGCTGTCACTCTTCTCTGAAGTTGCTAGCCATGAAGAACAGGCTGTGATAAAATCTCAGAGCCATTAAGTGCCTGTTGTTGGAATTGCTTTCATGGCTCATTGAAGTTTGTACTAAGCATGGGCTCTGGCAGTCAGGCAGCTCGAGTAGGGTTCCAGCCACACCATTGACCAGCCCTGCGAGTGGGGCAGAAAGCTCACTGCTCTGGCACTTGAGGCATCACGTCGTAAATTTAATGCAACCAATCCCCTTTTCACTGTTACCTACCTTTCTCTATAATCACCATGACCTGATCTCTGCTAGCATTTTTCTTAAAATGGATAAACATATGTTATATAGTATATATTATTCTTCCTCATGATTTTTTTGTTATATTGTCTCTTTCCACTCATATGAGATATTTACAGCAGTTAAGTTCATAGAAACACGAAGTAGAAGAGTAGTTTCCAGGGACTACACAAAGGGCAATGGAAGGGGAGTGTTGTTTACTGGGTACAGAGTTTCACTTTTAAAAGATTGAAAAACAGTTCCTTATGAACTTGGACAATGGTTGCAAAACAATCTGAATGTATTTAATTTCTTTAAACTGCACACAAAAAAAATAATAAAATGGTTAATTTCATGTATTTTTATATTTTACTAAAAGGTAAAAACTACTTTCTAAAATGAACAGACTATAGCTATTTGCAACTGGTGGGTGAATATCACAAATGTAATGTTGCATAAAAGAAAGCAGACATGCCAGTTTGGGCAACATGGTGAAACCCTGTCTCTACCGAAAATACAAAACAATTAGCCGGGCATGGTGGTGCAAGGCTGCGGTCCCAGTGACTCAAAAGGCTGAAGTGGAAGGATATCTTAAGCCTGGTAGGCAGAGGTTGCAGTGAGATCATGCCACTGCACACCAACCTGGGGAAAAGAAAGAAAGAAAAAAGAAGAGAGAAAGAAAGAAGGAAAGAAAGAGAGAAAGAAAGAAGACAGAAAAGGAAAGAAAGAAAGAAAACAGAAAAAGAAATAAAGAAAACAGATGTACAAGTATACATACTATATAATTTTTTTATATAAAATGCTACAATCAAATAAAACTGAGGTTCTGACTTCCACTAAGTGTGGACTAGCTTGTTGAACTCTCACAAATAACAATGATGAAACTTGAATAAAATATATTATTATAGAAAAACGCCTATGCATAATACATATATGATATGTGTGTTTAACAACTGAATGAAGATTTCAGCTATACCCACTGTAGCGGACACAAGCATTGGTTTGACACTAGCCCAATGAACCCTGTTTATAAAACAAAAGTCTTCAAGGTAAAACAACAAAATCCAGAGTTTCTATTCTATAATTATCATTTATAGTTTCTAGTGCACAATTTTAAAATTCATAAGACTTGTAAAGAAACGTGAAAATGTCATCCATACACAATATCAAAAGCAGGCAGTAGAAGCTATCCCAGGATGTTGCAATCAGCAGACAAGAATTTGAAGGCAGTTTTTATGAATATGTTCATGGGGAAAAAAGAAAATATTCTATTCATAAACAAACAGATGTGGAACTTCAGCAGAGAAATGAACATATATATAAAAAAATTATAGATAAGGAAATGAAAAAAATCTTTTGAGTTTAGCCATAGATTTAAAACAGAAGACACAGCAATAGAAATTATCCAGTCTGGAAAAAAAAAAGTACAAAAAGTTTAAAGGAAATGAACAGAGCTCTCGAGACCTGTGGAATGACTGAGTCTAAGGAGAAGGGAGAGACAAAAAATATTAAATAGGGAACAAAAGTAAATCAACAACTAATAGCGGAATACTTCCAAAAACTGTCCAAATACCTAAATATTTATATCCAAAAGGTCAATAAATACAAAACAAAATACAAATAAAACCACAGCAAGGCCATATCGTGGTTTATGAAACAGGCAAAGCAGGGCTTTTGCTTGACTTGCTGTGATATCTAATTGCTACTATTTATGGATACTATGGAAATAAATACTAAATAGAATGGGAGATAGGTTATTCTCAGAGTTTTTTTTTTTTTTTTTGCAAAGATGACTGTTATTAAAGGTAGATGACTTTCCAGCATGTCGAAAGGGGCGTGGCAGGGGAGGGGCGAGGAGAAGGGTCGGGGCTGAGGGAGGGGCCCTGCAAAGGTCTGGGCGCGCCCAGGTCCCCGAGAGCAAGCTTTACGGCAACGCTGGGCAGGCTGTTGGAGGCTCCCGGGCTCTGTCTTGTCAGAGAGAAATCAAACTTCAGGGACAAATAGTCGTACAAGTGGCACGTGGGGAGACTGTGTCACAATTACAAGTGAGACCACCTGCCCTGGCCACGCTGTCTCCTCGCACGCAGAAGTTTGGGAACAGATAGGCTCCCCTCAGCAGGGCGGAATTGCACTGGAAACATGGAGGGGCGGAGGAGAAGATGAAATTATCCCCTCAGTGTTGGAACTGTAGTCTCAGAGAAGATGAAATTTTCCCCGTAGTGTTGGAACTGTAGTCTCAGATCCACTCCCAGCCTTTCTGTCGCGGCAGTCGGACTATGATCCCAGCATGCGCTGGGCTTAAGGGAGGTTCCCAGCCCTGGAGGAAGGGTCAACAGGGTGGGTCCCTCGCAAGGCGTCCTGGGAGTCATAGTCCTTAAACAGTTTCCAGCACGTTGATCGCAAGGCTACCGAACTACAATGCCAGCATGCACCGGGATTGGGGCGGTGTGTAACGCTGGAGGGAAGGATAGAGAGGCGCGTCCCTGGCCAGGGATGCTGGGAGTTATGGTCTCTTAATGGTTTCCAGCGATGGCCCCCGGCCTGCAGACTAAAATCCCAGCAGCCACCGGGCTTCGAGGCGGTGTGTAGCACTGAAGGGAAGGATAGGGAGGTGCGTCCTTAGCCAGGCGTGCTGGGAGTTATGGTCTCTTAACAGTTTCCAGTCAGTTGGTCCCAGGATTACCTGACTACAATCCCAGCATGCGTTGGGCTTGGGGGCGGTGCGCAGCCCTAGAGGAAGGATCGGGACGGCGGGTACCTCGCAAGGCATCCTGGGAGTCATAGTCCTTTCAGTATTTCCAGCCCATTGGTCGCGAGGCTAACGGACTACAATCTCAGCATGCGCTGGGTTTGGGGGCGGTGTGTAGTATGGAAACGAAGGATAGGGAGGCGCGTCCCTAGCTAGGAGTGCTGGGAGTTTTGGTGTCTTAACGGTTTCCAGCCCATTGGTCGCCGACCTGCTAACTACAAAACCAGCATGCGCTGTCTGTCCTCCCCCGTGGTGCGCAGCCCTGGAGGGAGGGACAGGGCGGTGTGGACCTCGTCCTTTCCTAAGCGATGCCACATGCTGATTCTGTGCCACCCCCTCGCCAAGGGAGTCCGCAGAAGGACTTGAGGGGCAGGTCTAGGCTGGGCGATGAGGACGGTGTGACCCTGCGAAGTGCACCTCCCTTGCTCAAATCGGAGGGGTCTGGTCCTCACTGAACAGCCCGCTGAACATCTCGGTGTCCTCTCACATACACACCCGCGGGGGGTTTCCAGAGCATCGCACCTCTTCCAGCCCAGGGAGCCGCCTGCTCTGCTAAACTCTATGGGAACTGAGACATCCACCTGCTGCGTGACCCACCCGTGCGCAACTTCAGAGCTTTCAGGGGGTGATGCGGGCTGTGGCTCCTTCGTGAAAATGTCACCGTCTGCAGCGCCTTTCTTGTGATATAGAACTTGACGGGTGAGAGCGGGTATTTCTTGGGTTACTCAGGATCTGCTAACAGCAGAGGAGAAAACCACAATTCCCAGGCATAAGAATCTACCTAAAGACGATGGTTTAGATATTTTACAGTTGAAATCACCAGCCTCATCTCAACTGAGTCCTGACTGACGAGTGTCTCAAAAAAGCAGTTGGTGACCTCATCCCTCAGGAACAGGTGGTGCTCCAGCTTTGTGGGGATGACTTTCAAGGTGCAGAGCACTTGAGCCGCATTTGAAGTCATTCATGTTTTACATCTCTGCTTTGGATGGAAAGTTGATCCCCCACAGCCGTTGGGGATGTACCTTAATATACTGGGGCTTATCAGTTAAATTTTTCTGTCTAGACAATGAAAACCCAGAAGTTCCACTTGCAGGTAGCCTCTTAATAATCGACGTTCCTAAGTTCCTTATGTCCTCAGGATAGTTCCTTTTGTTCCCAGATGTTACCAACTTTGATGATGCATCTAATCTGTACAAACCTGTGTATTTCTCTATGTGAAAAGAATACTTTGTTCAAATTACATGTTCTTATAATTTTCACTTGTGATCGGTGAGTATGGGACACTATAAAAAAATCCTGAAAAACCTCATCATAGCAATTGAATCACGTTACTGTACTTTATGAGGAATTAACCCCTTCAGGATGAATTACTCATGGGTTCATCAGCACATTTGTGAAGAAAGGAAGAAAAACTGTATGGCCTTTATGAAATTGGAAAAATAAAGAACTATATATAGGAGGACCACAGCACAATACTAGGGCCCTTCTCTTATTTTAAATAGACTCTATGGGGTCGAATGCCTGCATTCCTAACCTATCCTGCAGTATTCTCATCCTACTCTTCACTGTGTATTTAGGTGGGGGTTTCTGAATTCACTTGTCCACAGCGTTAGTGGGGATGTTGTAACGTGAGGGTATCCATCATCTATCATCTTAATAATTAATGAAGAGAAGAGCCTTGAGATCTGTCTTCAGATACACTGCTGCCGAGTATGTGCCTGCAAAGACACTGCCCACACCGGTGGTCTCAGAAAGTTGAACCTGATGCCACCACAAGCTGCTGTTCACAGATCTAGGTGCTCCTGGTGATTTGAGTCTCCTGCTTACATTTGTGGTTGTGAACCTGCTATGCTCACCCCATTTATGGTAGTATATTTTGTGTCACCTTTTCTATTCCATTTGTTTCCTGGGAACTCACTGTGTAACTGCAATTCAGAGAATATGTAGGGACTCCACCCCCGACTACCTAAGTCACTGTACACTGGTCACATTTGTGTCATGTTTTCAGACTACACACTCTTCCTCTCTAATGGAATTTGTTGAAGAAATATAGTTGCCCTGTAGATCTCCTCAGTGTAATGTGGCTGGGATTGATTATGAAGCTGGGCATGTTGTCCTTGGCCTCATAGACATTATTCAAAATACCTTTCCCATATTTTGAAGTTTGATACTACTTTGTTAATGTGAACACTTGCCATAGCAGGCTCTATTAAATATCTCTGTGAATTTAACTGTCAAAACAACTTGTGAAGTAGGCACATGATCCCCATTTTACAGGTGAGGAAACAAATGTTCCAAGATTTTGAGTAATTTTATTAACTTTACACAGCTTTCTGGTGCATTTTGAATCTTAAGTTGGATCTCTTTCTCCACAATGTGTGGGCTTACCTCCTTTTCTATTTTGTGCCTCTCTGCTAGCATCTGCAAGGGTACATTTTATTTTTAGTACATCTTCCACTTGATGGTAGGAAACTTGACAAACAGATCCTTAGTGGGAGAGGAAACTCACTGGCATTTGTCCTTCTCTCTGCTCCTTCTTACCCTGGCAGGCATGAGACTTATCAAGTGAGATGGAGCAGTGGTAGATCCTGACCAGTCCTCACCTGGAATATTTGTTATTATAAAAAAATAGTCCTCTCATTTTTTACAAGTGTAACTTCTTTGCCTTAAAGTTTTGTCTGGGCTTTCTCTTACAGGTTCCTGTGAATGAAGTTGCAAATATTGATGAAGATAATACTACTGCCTTGCTGTCAAACAGTAACAGTCACCTTTTTTTGTATCTCCAATTATAAATGCAATACATACTGTAAAAAGAAAAGAAAACATCATAAATATCTTTATAAAGTAAAAGTCTTGGCTGGTCTCTGGGAGCAGTGACTCATGCCTGCAATCTCAGCACTTTGTGAGGCCGAGGTGGGTGGATCATGAGGTCAGTAATTTGAGGCCAGCCTAGCTGACATGGTGGAACCCCATCTCTGCTAAAAAATACAAAAATTAGCTGGTCTCGGTGGCGGGTGCCTATAATCCCAGCTACCCACGAGGCTGAGGCAGGAGAATCACTTGAACCCAGGAGGCAAATGGTGCAGTGAGCCAAGATCGTGCCATTGCACTCTAGCCTGGGCAACAGAGTGAGACTTCATCTCAAAAACAAAACAAAACAAAAAACTTGGTTGGCCTAGTGGCTCAATCCCAGCACTTTGGGAGCCCAAGGCAGGTGAATTGTTTGAGCCCAGAAGTTCAAGACCAGTGTGAGCAACATGGTAAAACCCTCTCTCTACAAAAATACAAAAATTAACCAGTTGTGGTGATGTACACCTGTATTCCCAGCTACTAGGGAGGCTGAGGTGGGAGGATTGTTTGAGCCTGGGAGGCCAAGTTTGCAGTGAGCTGAAATCACACCACTGCGCTTCCATGTGGGCAACAAAGTGAGACCCTGACTCAAAAAATAAAAACACATTAAAATGAAAGTCCCCTTTATTCCCTTCTCTTCAAACTCACTTTTTTTATTTGAAAAAACTGTTAAGAGGTTGTTTTTTATTCTTCTGGCTAAGTTGTATAAATTTCTTTTTTTTTTTTCGAGACAGACTCTCACTCTGTTGCCCAGGCTGGAGTGCAGCGGCGCGATCTCGGCTCACTGCAAGCTCTGCCTCCCGGTTTCACGCCATTCTCCTGCCTCAGCCTCCCGAGTAGCTGGGACTAGAGTTGCCCGCCACCACACCCAACTAATTTTTTGTATTTTTAGTAGAGACAGGGTTTCACCGTGGTAGCCAGGATGGTCTTGGTCTCGATATCCGGCCCCCTGATCTGCCCACTTCGTCTTCTCAGAGTGCTGGGATTAGAGGCGTGAGCCACCGCCCCCGGCCTGTTCTATAAATTTCTAAGTGATACACATAAAGTTTATTTTAAAAATTACATCACACTACATTAAAATTTACTCTTTCTCCAGGTGTATTCCATCTATTTATCTATCTATGTATCTATCTATCTATCTATCTATCTATCATCTATCATCTATCTATCTATGACAAGGCCTTGCTCTGTCACACAGACTGGAGTTCAGTAGCTCAATTATGGTTCACTGCAGACTCAAACTCTCAGGCTCAAATGATTTTCTAACTTCAGCTTCTGAAGTAGCTGGGAGTACAGGTGCATGCCACTACTCCTAGTTAATTTTTAGTTTTTGTTTGTTTTTTTCTTTAAACAGGGTCTCACTGTGTCACCTGGGCTGGAATGCAATGCATAATCACAGCTCACTCTAGCCTTGACCACTCAGGCTCAGGCAATTCTCCTGCCTCAGCCTCCTGAGCAGATGGGACCACAAATGTGTATTAACACACTTGGCTGTTTATTATTATTTGCAGAGACAGGGTCTCCCTATCCTGCCCAGGCATGTTGTGAACTCTTGTGCTTAAGCAATCTGCTACCTCGGCCTCCAAAATTGCTGGAATTAAAGGTGTGAGCCACCACAACTTACCCAGGCTTTTTACTTTGTGTAAGAATAACATCAGTGTATTAAAAATACAGTGGAAATTATTTATGGTGTCTTTTCAATTCTTATGCATTAAAGTTCTCTTATTAGAGCCTTTTATTAATGGTTATAGTGTATTTTCTGTGAAATTTTACTGTCACACACTGCATGCCAATGATTCAAGATACCCGAACTTCATGAATGCACAGTCACAGTAGAATATTTTAGTTATCTAAAAAGTATTTTCATAAATGATATATCAAGTTTATATGCAAGGTAGCCTGGTCTGGTAGCAGGTGCTTGTAATCTCAGTGAAGGCTGAGGCAGGAGAATGGTTTGAACTCAGGAGGCGGAGGTTGAAATGAGCCGTCGTCTCGCCACTGCACTTCAGCTTGGGTGACAGAGTGAGACTCTGTCTCAAAAAAAGAAAAAAACTTTGCTTGCAAGATTTTATGAGTAAATATGTTTCTTATTTTTCTTTACAATTCCATATTACTGTCTCGATTATTTAGAATAGGTTCCAGGGCAGCAGTTGATTTTATTTTGGGTTTTACTTATGTATTATAACTTTGGATGTTATAATTTCCAACTCTGCCTGTACACTTCAAGTCAATGTGGATTTTTAAAAAAATGTTAATAGTACAAACTATTCATAGATTCAACTTCATAATGTTAAAAGCAACGGCAGCTCCTGGTTTAAAAAGGGAACGGTGGAAGCAGCCGGCAATTTGATTTAAAATCGCGTTAGATTTTTCAGATGGATGATAGTTAAGATCATTAAATCCCATTACTGCTTCTAAGATTTCCACAAAATAGCACATTAAATCCTCAGTCCTAAGCAATCACGACAGAAATTCAAAATTGCCTCTCAATGTCAAGGTAAACAGCGCACTATCTTCTCTTGCAATAAAGGTACATCATTTGATATACAAGGGAGCATAGCAGTCAGACACTTACAAGATCGTGCTGTAGAAATAACTTCCATGTTTTCATCCGCCATGTGTATCCTCACCTCTGTCTCCCATGCAGTAACACTATCAGTTTCCTCATCTGTCCTTTCTACTTTCTTTGAAAGAGGATGCTGATTGCAGAGAATACATGACAGAGGCATTTCAAATCAGAAAGGAGTTTCTTGAGATATACGTGATTTTAGTTTTAAGTAGAATGTCCTGAAGAGTTTTAGTTACAATACCACCTTCAAGAGGATGGTGGTGAAATTCATAGTAAACATTTGGCAAAATATAGGTTATGAGGCAGCCATCTCCTAGAAACACTTCATCGGGGTTTATATATGAAATGTGAAATATCGTAGGTTTAATCCTGGCACAGAACCAAAACTGAGTGCATTGCACTTGAACAGCTGACCAATCCCCAGCACAGGTCCATATGAAGAAACGGAGAAGAAAGAATCCTTTTAACCACAGAAAGGGCTTCATTTGCCCAAACTGAAAACCAAATTTCACTCAGGAAACTAATGTTGGGTTTAATTAAAATATAAATCGGTCATACGTTTTCAAAATTAAATTATATATGTGTTTGTCTCTATAAATATGTCCCCAACTTTGCTCCTGGCTTATCTTCCATATTTTTTGGCTGATTTTCAGTGGTTGTCTTATCTTGTGAGGATGAATAGTCATTGAAATAATCTTAATTTCACAATGAGTTTAATTATAAATCTATACTTCCTTTGTGTGAGAGAAAATCTTTTGTGAACAAAATTTAATTTTTGGAAAGCTTTATAAGTCCATATTTTTCCTTTTAAAAACTGCGATTGTGGTAAAAACACATAATGTAAAATTTACCATTTTAATTCTTTTTAAGTGTATATTTCATTAGCGTTAAGTACATTCACATAGTTATGCAAAAGATCTGTAGAACTTCTATGTCTTGCAAAACTAACATTAAATGTCTTTTAAGACAATTGCCCATTTTACCATCTCTTCAGTCCTTGACAAACACCATTCTAACTATTTTTTTCCTATGAGTTTGTCTACTTAAGATACCTGATTATGAATGGAATCATAGACTGTCACTTTGTTCCTGGCTTATTTCAGTTAACGTGATATTCTCAAGAATAATCATATAATGTGACTTTTTAAAGACTGAATAATATTCGACTTTGTGTATGTGCCACTTGTTATTAATCTCTTCATTGGTCAAGGGACAGCTGGGTTGTTTCTGCCTTTTGGCTTGTGTTAGTAATGCTGCAATAAATTTGGGTGTGCAAATATCTCTTCCGGATCATGTGTTGTATATTTTAAATACATAGCCAGAATGGGGTTTGCTGGATTGTAAAATAATCTCATTTTAAATTTTTTGAAGAGCTTTCATACTATTTTAAAAATAGGTTTGATGTGATAGATTATTGTGACTTTTCTTTGTATTTTTCTAGAAGAGAGTTGTCGAGTATCCTTTTAAATGCCTAGTCATTTCTATGTCTTCTTTGGAGAAAGTCATTTCAAACATGTGCCATTCTAAATCAAGTTATTAACTTTTTTTGTTGTTGAGTTTTAGGAATTTATATATTTTGAAAATTAACACCTACCAAATATGTGATTAGAAAATATTTTTACTCTTTTTTGTTTTATGTATGTATGTATGCATATATATAACCCTATACAAGACAGGGTCTTGCTATGTTTTCATGGCTAGTCTCAAACTTTTGGCCTCAAGTGATTGTTCTGCCTTGGCCTCCTAAAGTTGTAGAATTAAAGGCATGAGACACCATGCCTAGCTTTCACCCACTTATTAGGTGACGTTTGTATGGCACTAAATGTTTTATTTGATGTGTAGAATAGTTGAAGCTTAATGTAGTCCCTTTTTTTGGTCGTTGTTCTTTTCCTTGTTGCTTATGAATTTGATGTCAAACTTAAGGAAAGAGTTTTAAGACTTATGTCATAAACTTTTCCCTTATGTTTACTTCTAAGAATTTTATTAGGTTTTATGTTTAAGTATTGAATTCATTTAAAAAACTTTTCTTTTTATATATGATACAAAGGAAGCATCCAATTTTATTTTTTTCTCTGTAAATATTCAATTTGGAAAATTCTTTGTTAAATAGATTCTTATTTTTCTATTGTGTGGTCATGGAAAGCTTATGGAAGATTATTTTATCACATATGCAAGGGTTTATTTCTGGGATCTCTATTCTGTTTCGTCATCTATGTATCTGTTTTTGTGGCAATACCATATTGTTTTTATTTTTGTAGCTTTGTATCATGATTTTGAATCAGAAAATGTAATACCTCTTTGTTCTTTTTAAAGGGTGTTTGGCTAGTCACCTTTCCTAAGCAACGTTTAGAATTATACACAAAAATTCTGCAAAAAAAATACCATTGGGATTTTGACAAAAATTACCTTACATTTTTATATCATCATGAGTAGTACTGGCAACATTTTTTTTTTTTTTGGAGATGGAGTTTTAGTGAGTCACTCAGGCTGAAGGGCAGGGGTGCGAGATGTGCTCACTGCAGTCTCCGCTTCCCAGGTTCAAGCAATTCTCCAGTCTCAGCCACCAGAGTAGCTGGGATTGCAGTCGTGCACCATCATGTCTAGCTAACTTTTGTATTTTTAGTAGAGATAGGGTTTTGCCATATTCACTAGGCTAGTCTCAAACTTCTGATCTCAGGTGATCCACCCACTTTGGCCTCCCAAAGTCCTAGGATTACAGGCATGAGCCTCATGCCGGCCCTGACATCTTAACAATATTAAATCACCTGACACTTGAGCAAGACTATATGAAAGATTTTGCTTAATTTCCTCTTATTTACATATTTGCCACATTTTCTTGCTTTTGAATTCTAGTTTCATTTACATTGTATGGCTTCGGTTTTCTTAAATTTAATAAGACATGTATCCTAACAGAATGTACCATGTGTGATTTAGAATATTGCAGATTTTGCTCCTTTAAATTGGAGAGTTCTGTAAATGCTGGTTGGGTCTATAATGTTCAGGTTTGGCTTTCTTACTGATATTACTTCTGACTATTCTAGTCATTACTGAAGTGGAGTCTTGAAGTCCACCGTTGTTGTGTTGCTATGTATTTCTTGCTTGACTTCTGTCAATATTTGTTTTACATATTTGAAAGACGAGAATCAGTTGAACCTGGGAGGAGGAGGTTGAAGTGAGCCTATCGAGATATCGTGCCACTGCCCTCCAGCCTGAGAGAAAGAAACTCTGTCTCTCTAAAAAAAAAAAAGAAAGAAAGATGTCAGTGCTATTTATAGTAATACAAAAATTTAATGTAATTTTTGTCAAAATCTCAATGGTATATTTTTGCAGATTTTTCAAATTATATATATATGATTTATAAATTATTGTTATAGATTCCTGGAAAGTTAATCCATCTCACCATTACATAATACCAATCTCTCTCGGCCGGGCGCAGTGGCTCACGCCTGTAGTCTCAGCACTTTGGGAGGCCGAGGCGGGTGAATCATGAGGTCCAGAGATCGAGACCATCCTGGCCAACAAGGTGAAACCCCATCTCTACTAAAAAGTACAAAAATTAGCTGGGTGAGGTGGCGGCGTGTGCCTGTAGTCCCAGCTACTCGGGAAGCTGAAGCAGGAGAATCGATTGAACCAGGGAGGTTGTGGTTGCAGTGAGCCGAGATCGTGCCACTGCACTCCAGCCTGGTGACAGAATGAGACTCTGTCTCCAAAAACAAAAACAAAAACACAATACCAATCTGTCTCTTGTTCATATTTTTGATTTAAAATATATTTTGTTTAGTATAATTATGACCATGGCCCTCCAATTTTAGCTACTCTTTGCATAAAATATATTTTCTTTATACTGTTACTTTCAACTTATTTGAGTCCTTAGAGCTGGAATGACTCTTGTAGAGAGCACATTGCTGGATCTTCTTTGTTCTTAATCCATTAAATTATTTATTAATTTTCTTTAAGGTATTTAACTTTTTATATTTGAAGTCATTACTGCATTTAATGAAGTTACTTTATTATTTGTAATTGTCTTCTGTGTTTCTTGTAGATGTGTTATTTATCATTTTTTCTCTTACTGCTTTATTTCTGTTTGTTGATTTTGTAGTGACGTGATTGAATTTCTTTCTCATTTGCCTTTGCATACATTCTACAGGTTTTTTTGGTAATCATCCTGAGAAATAAAGACTTCATAAATCATCTTAAAGTTATGACAGTATAGAACAACCATATTTCAACTGAATGCAAAGTTGTACCTCTTCACACTCCCACTGTTTTATTAATATCACATATTATCTTTCCTTATGGTCTATGATCACAAATTTATGCAGATTTCTGCTTCATGTTTTAAACTCCATGGCAATATTTTGAAAGTTTTGTGCACCATGATTATGACAGTAGAGATTTCTTTACCTGTTTATATATTTACCTTTAATAGAGAGCTTTCTATTTTCATGTGCTGCTATGATGCTCTGCAGCATCATTTCATTTTTGGACGTGATAGACTCTTTTACACTTCCTTTAGGACTCTTCTAGTGGTTAGTAACACAATCAACTTTTATTTATTTTGGAAAGGTTTAGTTTTTTTATTTCTGAAGTGATATTACTCCAGTTGAAGGTTTTTGTTTGGAAGTATTTCTTTTTGTTTAATTATCTTGTCATGTGGGGATTTCTCAGCTACTTTTTAAAAATAATCTCTTTATTACTTTTCTCCTATATTGTTTTTGTAAGACTCCTTTCATAAATATAATGGTCCCCTTGACGATGTGCAGTACGTCCCATACTTTTTCCTCCATTCTGCTTAAAAAATTTGTTTTCATCACTCAATATTTATAACTACAATGTCATCAATTGTGTAATTTTTTCTCCTTTATTAGTCTGCTTTTGTGACTGTTGATTAAATTTTTAATATAGCTATTATGTTCTTCAGATTCACAATTGTTGGTTTTTAAAAATCTTTTTATTGATATCTCATTTTCTTTATGTATCACTTCTTCTAATATTCTTTTGTTGTCTATGTTCTGTTTTTGTTCATTAAGCAGTTTTTTCTAATCACATTTTATTGAAAACTGCACTGAATGCTAAATGTCCATCTTTACAATAAACAACTACAGTAATGGTAATTCGCACTACACTAAAACAAAACGTACTTCTGATAGCCATTATTTTTCTGTTTGGGACAGTTTTAAAAATTTATCTTTTCTTACAAAAACGGGAATGTCCCTAATCAAAGGATCAAAACAGGCCATCTTTTTAAACAAAAAGACAATATTCACAAAAGACTATGAATAGAACATGTAACTAATTGATGCAAATCTAATATAATTTGTTAAAATCAGTCACATCCAATACAGCTGAAGTGTTCTTGTATAAAACACAACGTGAAGAAAAGAAGACTTTATCAATGTCTTAAAAAGTGGGTTTGTTCATAGACAATCTGACAAGTTACCATTAAAAGTGTTTCCTGTGACATAAGAAAATGCAATATTATTTTTCTTGAACCCTTTTAGTGCAAGACTTCCCATTAAATAAAATACCAGAGGATCTGAAACTGAGAAAATATACTTGATTACAAACAGCGTGTGAAATTTAATACTTTTTTTTTTTTTTTGCATTATCGGAGGCTTTTACTGAACTTACAACCAACTTGCCCGCTCAATATGCAGTTCAGATGTGAGAGACGCTTCTCTGTACAGGACCCGGTACTGTCTTCAATCCTATGCGTGAGGATGTCTACCACAGGCAAACAGTTTACTCCATATTTTCTAGTAATGTGATCTTCCTATTAGCAAAAAGCTGTAACCAGTCCCTGTAGACTGAAGGGACTCAAGTCACAAGATGGGGATTTCCTCCTCATGGTTTTTATTTTGATGTTTGAAGTCTTGATGCAACATTCTGAGCTGGGTGTTCCTGACCTGCTGTGCCCAAGGGACTGACAAAGGAAAAAGTTGTATTTATTCTTTGTGATTTGACGCACAGATGAAAAACTAAACACATAATAACGGAAGTTGGTGGTTAATAAATCACATCCTAGTCTTTCAGAGCTTCCGTAAGCAGACGACATCTTCAGTTTTCTAGGTCTTGCAGTTTTAACACTGCAAAACCAATGAGCATATGTCCAGAATCAGCTAAAAAGAGCGTCAGATTCTTTTTCTCTTAGTTTGTCTATTTTTCACTGTCTCTTCTTCAAAAGTGTATCTGAATGATTACCTTCCGGCATTCTCTGTTATTACTCGTTGGGGTGCTCTCGATTGTCCCCGTGTTTGAGGGCTGGTTGGGAGAGGGTGCTTGGGAAGGATGTGCCACTGTCGGGAGTTTATGAGTCACCAGGATGTCTCCAGGGAAGGTCCCTTCCATGGATGCAGGAAGTCCTCCTGGACCCACGCCCAAGATGCCTGGATGAATTTCTTGCTGGTCTATTTCCCACAAAAGCACAGACGTGACAAAGAATTCCTCGTTCACACAGTTTCTTAAGCTTCCTGGGATGCGACCTGTGATGGCTCGGCGGAGCTCGGTGGCAGCTGTCTCCCTCATCTCCAGTGACACCTGCTGGCTGTAGCAGGCAGTGTGAGGAGTGCAGATGAGATTGGGGGCATCTTTCAACGGACCCTGAGCAAAGCTAAAGGGCTGCGACTCGTTCACGTCGAGGACTGCCCTTCGTATCCTGCCTTCCTTGAGGGCCTGTGCTAAGGCTCTCTCGTCCACCAGGCCACCACGGGCTGCGTTCACAAGGAATGCTCCCTGCCTCATCTGCTTTATGGTAAAGTCATTGATGAGGTGGTGCTTAAGTTCGTTGAGACTGCAGTGCAAGGAGATGCAGTCGCTCTGATACAGCCAATCCTGCAGGGTGTAGACCCTCTGCATGCCCAGGGACTGCTCGATCCCATCCTGCAAGTAGGGGTAATAAAACATGACGCTGAATCCAAAGGCTGTGGCTGGAACTGCAAAAGCCTGCTGCGTGCGACCCTAGCCGATGAGGCCCAGCGTCTTCCCACGAATGCGGGCCACTCCCGAGGCCACCTCGCAGATCTGCTCCATGCTCTGAACCCGCTTGCCTTCCCACAGTGCCTGGTACAGCCATGTGTTCCTCCGGTACATGTTGAGAATGTGGCTGTTGGTGGAATTGGCTGTCTCTTCCACGGCTGCGGACGGGATGTTTCACACAGCAATTCCGAGCTCGCTGGCAGCCTTGATGTCCACGTTGTCATAGCCACTGCCCACCCCCACGATCACTCTCAAGGACTTGAAATTTGCCAGAACCTCCCTAGTGAGGTGATTGTGTGGTGCATCATGGGGCCCACGGCTCTGTTTAGAACTTTCTCGTGGATTTCCTGCGTGGACTGCATCATAGAAGGCCACGGTGGCCAGATCCTTCAGGATGGGCATGTCCACAGTGCAGTCACGGCCGACCAGGAACGCTGCCAGTGAGCGGGGGCTTAGGGGGTCTTTCGTGATCTGGCGGCGAATTCCTTCACAAATTCTGTCCAATCGCTGTCTCTTGACTTAGCGCTTATCCACAGGGCCATTCTTTACGGAACTTTGCAACTCTCAGATCAAAAGGTAAAACAGTCCTCTAAGAACTTAGGGGAACTCGCAGGAGTCTGTGTGCATGATGCCACTATGAACCCAATATAAATTTGTTCACAAACTCTATAGTTCACACGATGGGCTGTCCGTCTCTTTAAGGGAATATAGCTTCATTGGTTCAAAACCATTTAAGGTGATGAAACCCATTTGGTTGCAACTCAGCCACCATCGCGCAGTCAATCAACGAATCTCACCACGACCCCAGGTCTGGAGCTCCTGGAGTCCGCGACCGCTGGGGGTGGAGGCGGCTTCGGCCTGGTGCAGCCAGGTCCTTGCTCCTGCTCTGAGCCTCGGGCGTGGGTTGGGGGTCCACCCGGGTGTCCCGCATGGTGTCTAAGCTCCTCCCTTGCCGGAGCCCTGCGGACTGGAGGAGTGTTCATATCATTAAGGAGCTTTGATAATTATTTTGATTTTTAAAATTATATAATGCAAAAACAACAACAACAAAGAATAAACCTACAAATTTTGACCTTTAAAAGTCAACAAAGATTTTTAAAGGTCAATATTTGTAGGTTTATTTTATTTCTTCAATTGGGACATGTTTTCGTCCTTTTCTGTATGCCCTGCAATCTTTTGATGAGATTCAGAAATTTATAAAACAACTGTGTAATGTAGTATGTACAAACTTGCTTACTACAAGATAATACAACAATCAGTGAGGCTGTACATCCTGGTACTTCATTAACAGTGTCTTCAATGTGTCTTCTCTGGGCTTGTGTGTGTATTTTTAAGGTAAATGTATTTTTCCCATTGTTTTCCAGACACTGTGGTCCTTTGCTTCCGCAGCTGATTTTAGTGTTTGTTTCTCTGAGGCTGTGGTAAGCATGTAACTTCTCTTCTCAGCAGTCATAAGTTATCATTCTCACTACTCTGCCATTTCCTTTAGCATTCCCTGTTTGGGGAGACAGAATCTAGTCATCAGCGGTAGCCCACAAAGCCAAACCTTTGAACATATGTTCCACTGTTCTCATTCTATACTGAGGGATATACTAAAAGTTGGACGTTTTCTCTTGAGCCCAATTGCTGTTCTGGGAAAGAAGAAGGGATGTGGTGAATATAAGCCACACCTGGTTGCCTCGTACAGCAAGCTTTTCCAACCCGCCTTGTTTTGTTTTTGTTATGGCTCTGTTTTGTTTTAGGTTTTTAGCAGCCTGCAGCAATGGTTTTTGGGTTCTGTGTCTAGTGATAAGTGGAAAAGGGGGATGAGGAAAGGGCCTTACTGGCTCAACCAGAAACAGAAACTAAGAACTCATGGCTGTAGTCTCCCGTGGATGCCCCTGTCCTACAGTAAAGGAAATGTCTTTGGAATGTAAAAAGAGAGAGAATAATAGGCAACACCCCAATAGGGAAGAATGAACAAATAACAAAGATGAGAGGTGCAAAGGCCAAGGAGAAAACCTTAAAAATGTGGTGTTGGAAGTTCTGCTTCAAAGAAATTGGTTCTGGAAAATTCTAAATTTACTTCTTTTGCTGCCACAGGTGGAAATTTCCTACCCTATGCTTATTATGCTCTTAAATCTTCTAAGGCTTCTCTGTTCATCCACTAACATTCCAGGGCATTCACAGTGACAGCCAAAGTTCGCCTCTTCTTTCTGCTGTTCCCATGAAGCCCTTGTGGTCTGAGTGCTTTTCCATTGTTTTTGGGATCTGAGGAAATCTGCACATTTTGTGAGACTTTTATGTTAAGCTGTTTTGTAAAAATCTGTGCCTCATGTCAGAAGTTTGTGAGAGCAAAAGTGCAGGCATTGGGGTTTGGTTCACATATTTCAGAAACACCGAGGACAAATGTTTCTTCCTCATAATTTTCAGTCCTATTATTTCAAATGTGTTCCTGCAAAAAAATCAGAAAAAAAATTTATCAGAGCCCAAAGCACCTCAGCACATATCATAAAGTTGAATCTTCTATTTCACTTTATTCTTTTTTTCATCTCTGGTAATGTAGGTCAAAAAGTTTTCTTTCCCTTAGTAGAAACTAACTTAGAAATGTGAACTCTCTATGCCAAACATGTCACCTGTGGAATAGTTGATTGTATCTACTCATCTCAAAGAATTTTTAAAGACCTTAATCCATAGAAAAACTTAGAAACATGCCAGGAATAGAACAAATTCTTAACTGTTACATTATTTCTTAATGAGTTATTTTATTAATTAATCTTATATAAAGCTTAGTGGGACTGTGATCTGTACGTTTTCCCTGTCCTGTTTTTACGTATGTCAAATTAGCCTATAACTTTAGCTTCAGGGGTTTCAGAAAACATACTTGAATTTATGTGTTATATAAAAAGTGAATTGGATAGTATGCACATCACATTAAGAAAAGTTTTAGTTTGTGTCTAAGTTCACTGCATAGAAAAACTTATCATTAGTGTTTCCATTTACTTTCCTCAACATTTATCTGAATGATAGTATAATTTATTTCTAATTGCTTATTATATTGTAGTTTTCCACAGCATATTTTACAATATTCATGTTGTTCCCATATGTAAAAATGTAAGGCTTTTCTTTGCTTTAAAAAAAATAAATTATAGGCCAGTGCTGTGTTTCATGCTTGTAATCGCAGCACATTAAAAGGTTGAGATAGGTGGATCACGAGGTCAGGAGTTCAAGACCAGCCTGGCCAACATGGTGAAATCCTGTCTCTGCTAAAACTACAAAAAATATCGCCGGCTAGGAGCGGTGACTCAAGCCTGTAATCCCAGCACTTTGGGAGGCCGAGACGGGTGGATCACGAGGTCAGAAGATCAAGACCTTCCTGGCTAACACGGTGAAACCCCGTCTATACTAAAAATGCACAAAAATTAGACGCGCGTGATGGTGGGCGCCTGTAGTCCCAGCTACTCAGGAGGCTGAGGCAGGAGAATGGCGTGAACCAGGGAGGTGGAGGTTGCAGTGAGCCGAGGTCTCGCCACTACACTCCAGCCTGGGTGACAAAGCGAGACTCCATCTCAAAAAATTAAAAAAAAAATAAATTATAGCCTTTCCATTTGTATAAAAAGAGGAGAAATATATTAAGAACATAATAAAAAGTGTCTCTAATATCATTGAAATCTTTATTAAAATTTTCTTCTAAATGCTCTTTATGGGAGATTATAATGTATTTGTTGTGCAATTTTGTTACTCTAACCATATGCTAAGAATTCAAAATCTGCTCTTTATGGGAGCCCAGTTATGGTTGAACATGCTAGTTATCTAGAAAGAGTCTTCTTCCGTTGCATGCTTTCTTTATTCGGTATTTCACAGGCTAATGTTTATTTAATTTTATTTTCTAATATTATATATTCTTGTATTTCCTTGTTAGGATAGGCTGCCTTACATTATTTAATTGTGTTTTTAGATTCTGCCTATATATTATAATTTTTTATGACTATATTCAACTGTGTACAGTTGAATATGAATCAGTCAAATATGAATCAACCACACGTCTATTGCCAACATAATTCTCTGTTCATTTGCCTGTATAAACATTACTCATGTTGGTTTGCTGCACCCATCAACTCAACATTTACATTAAGTGTTCTCCTAATGCTATCCCTTCCATAGCCCCCCACCCCCAAACAGGCACTAGCGTTTGATGTTCCCTGTCCTGTGTCCACGTGTTCTCATTGTTTAACTCCTACCTATGAGTGAAAACATGCAGTGTTTGTTTTTCTGTCCTTGTGATAGTTTGCTGAGAATGATGGTTTCCAGCTTCATCCATGTCCCTGCAAATGACATGAACTCATCCTTTTTTAAGGCTGCGTAGTATTCCATGGTGTATATGTGTCACAATTTCTTAATCCAGTCTATCATTGATGGACATTTGGGTTGGTTCCAAGACTTTGCTATTCTGAACAGTGCCACAATAAACGTACGTGTGCATGTGTCTTTATAGTAGCATGATTCATAATCCTTTGGATATATACCCAGTAATGGGATTGCTGGGTCAAATGGTATATCTGGTTGTAGATACTTGAGGAATTACCACACTGTCTTCCACAGCGTTTGAACTAATTTACACTCCAACCCACAGTGTAAAAGCGTTTTTGTTTTTCCACGTCCTCTCCAGCATCTGTTGTTTCCTGACATTTTAATGATCCCCATTCTAACTAGCGTAAGATGGTATCTCATTGTGGTTTTCATTTGCATTTCTCTGATGACCAGTGATGATGAGCAATTTTTCATGTCTGTTGGTTACATAAATGTCTTCTTTTGAGAAGTGTCTGTTCATATCCTTTGCCCACTTTTTGATGGGATTGCTCATTTTTTTCTTGTAAATTTGTTTAAATTCTTTGTAGATTCTGGATGTGAGTCCTTTGTCAGATGGGTAGATTGCAAAAATTTTCTCCCATTCTGTAGGTTGCCTGTTCACTCTAATGATAGTTTCGTTTGCTGTGTAGAAGCTTTTAAGTTTAATTAGATTTCATTTGTCTATTTTGGCTTTTGTTGCCATTGTTTTTGGTGTTTTAGTCATGAAGTCTTTGCCCATGCCTATGTCCTGAATGGTATTGCTCAGGTTTTCTCTTAGGTTTTTATGGTTTTGGGTCTTACATTTAAGTCTTTAATCCATCTTGAGTCAATTTATGTATAGGGTGTAAGGAAGAAATCCAGTTTCAGTTTTCTGCATATGGCTCGCCATTTTTCCCAGCAACATTTATTAAATAAGGAATCCTTTCCCCATTGTTTGTTTTTGTCACATTTGTCGAAGATCCAATGGTTGTAGATGTGTGATGGTATTTCTGAGGCCTCTGTTTCTTTCCATTGCTCTATATATCTGTTTTGGTACCAGTACCATGCTGTTTTGGTTACTGTAGACCTGTAGTATAGATTGAAGTCAGGTAGTGTGATACCTGCAGCTTTACTCTTTTTGTGTAGGATTTTCTTGCCTATGCAGGCTGTTTTTTGGTTCTATGTGAACTTCAAAGTAGTTTTTTCCAATTCTGTGAAGAAAGTCAGTGGTAGCTTGATGGGGATAGCATTGAATCTGTAAGTTATCTTGGGCAGCATGGTCATTTTCATGATATTGATTCTTCCTTTCCAGGAGCATGGAATGTTCTTCCATTTGTTTGTGTCCGCTTTTATTTCATGGAGCAGTGGTTTGTAGTTCTCCTTGAAAATGTCCTTCACATCCCTTGTAAGTTGGATTCCTAGGTATTTTATTCTCTTTGTAGCAATTGTTGAGTGGGAGTTCACTCATAATTTGGCTCTCTGTTCGTCTGTTATTGGTGTATGGAAATACTTGTGATTTTTGCATATTATTTTGTATCCTGAGACTTTGCTGAAGTTGCTTATCAGATTTAAGGAGATTTTGGGCTGAGACAATGGGGTTTTCTAAATATACAATCATGTCATCTGCAAACAGAGACAATTTGGCTTCCTCTTTTTCCTAATCGAATGTCCTTTATTTCTTTCTCTTGCCTGATGGCCCTGGCCAGAACTTCCAATACTATGTTGAGTGGGAGCGGTGAGAGAGGGAATCGTTGTCTTGTGCTGGTTTTCAAAGGGAATGCTTCCAGGTTTTGCCCATTCTGCATGATATTGGCTCTGGGTTTGTCATAAATAGCTCTTATTATTTTCAGATGTGTTCCATCAATACCTAGTTTATTTAGAGTTTTTATCATGAAAGGCTGTTGAGTTTTGTTGAAGGCCTTTTCTGCATCCATTGAGATAGTCATGAGATTTTTGTCATTGGTTCTGTTTATGTGATGAATTATGTTTATTGATTTGCATATGTTGAACCAGGCTTGCATCCCAGGGATGAAGCTGAATTGATCGTGGTGGGTAAGCTTTTGGATGTGCTGCTGGATTTGGTTTGTCAGTATTTTATTGAGGATGTTTGCATTGATGTTCATCAGGGATATTGTTTTTTTGTTGTGCTTCTGCCAGGCTTTGGTATCAGGATGATGCTGACCTCATAAAATGAGTTAAGGAAGATTCCCTCTTTTTCTCTTGATTCGAATAGTTTCAGAAGGGATGGTAGCAGCTCCTCTTTGTACCTCTGGTAGAATTCAGTTGTGAATTCATCTGGTCCTGGACTTTTTTTGGTTCGTAAGCTATTAATTATTGCCTCAATTTCAGAATCTGCTATTGGTCTACTCAGAGATTCAACTTCTTCCTCGTTTAGTCTTGGAGGTGTGGATGTTTCCAGGAATTTATCAATTTCTTCTAGGTTTTCCACTTTATTTCCGTAGAGGTGTTTATAGTATTCTCTGATGGTAGTTTGTATTTCTGTGGGTTTGGTGGTGATATCCCCTTTGTCGTTTTTTATTGCGTCTCTTTGATTCTTCTCTCTTTTCTCCTTTATTTGTCTTACTAGTGGTCTATCTATTTTGTTAATCTTTTCAAAAAACCGGCTCCTGGGTTGATTGATTTTTTGAAGTGTTTTCTGTAATATTCAATTTTTTTTAATTCTGTTAAAAAATTTTTTTCCTTATATTTATTTTTAGGACAATGTTTTATGAGCTTTTGACAAGACTGTGAGTTTTGTTGTTGTGTAGAGTGATCTCTATGCATCTGTTACATCTAACTGTTTTACATTATTTTCATGTCCTCTGTTTTCTTTTTAACATTCTCTCTGGCTTTATTATTAATTACAGAACTGGTGTATTAAAATATTGTTCTCAGTATATTGCAGTTTTTTGTTTATGTTCTGACAAAATATTATTGATTTATTTTAAAATCTTCATGTGAGGTTCATATATATGTGTGTCTGTATACATAATTAGATAAATACACACAATTATATAAACGTGTATTATATAAATGTATATAATTTTCCTAGGTTTCCAGTGAATAAACTTTTTTATTATTTTGTCCTTTGTTTTCTTTGACAGTTTTAACTTATAGTTTATTTTATAAACTAAGACAGTTATTTAAAAAGTATTTTGCATAATGTGCTCATGACATTGTCTTCATTTCATTACGATTTGCATAAAATTGTTTTGATGCATCTTGCCACTTTTAGTCTGTTTTTGTTACTATATAGTAAGATGGCTCATATCTGTCATCCAAGCATTTTAGGAGATTGAGGTGGGAGGTTAACTTGAGCCCAGAAGTTTGAGACCAGCCTGGGAAACAAAGCAATACCATGTCTCTAAAATAAATAAATAAATAAATAAATTGAATCCCCTGTAGACAGATGTAGTTAGATTTTATTTTATTTTTTATCTCTGTACTCTATTTATGACTTTTGTTTGAGAAGTTTAGTTTGTGAGTAGCTACATAATTTCCTGCATTTGAAGGAATTACTTTTGACACTTTGTGGAGTAAAAGGTAAATATTAAATTTGAACTCAATTGAACATGGACTCAAACAATGGTCACCAAGTCCCGGAACAGGTTGTGTGAGCCCCTTGAAGCCTTCATCCAGCGCTGTTTCAGATAAATCTCTATTTCAATTTATTCCTATATCTTAGTTATTGAAAAACAATAGACAATCAAAAAAACAAGTTGACCTTTTTGTGTTCCTTGAGCCCCGTTGTGAAGAGCCTTCCTGACCGGACTTCATGCCAAATAACTCATTATAAAAAGAGCTGGGGTTCCAGACTGCGCCAAAGCTTCATGAGATCTCACGTTGTCTGTGGACGGATGAGTGGCCAATCTGGAGCCCAGGCTGTTGCTTCACAGTCTCGTGGTGAATCCTCCATAGTTTGGTGAGTTTAAATATATATATATATATATCTTTTCCCTTCTCCCCGTCGCATTGCAACTTGCTTATATATTTGCTTATTATATCTGCATTGCCATTTAAGTGGGATAAAGTTTGTTTGAATCACTGGCTGTGTGTGAGGTGCAGCAGGGAGTCCCAGTTGGTAATTGTAATGCTGAGGGAATTTCCCAGCATTGATGATGCTTGCTTACTGCTTATAAGTTAAAGTGTCAATATAGGGACTGGTTGTTACAAGAGAAATGTAAGCTGGAAAAGGAAAATTTTAATCTGACTTCCAGACTGGTCCTGGTACTATGCCAGGCCTGTCTTCACTGATCAGGCTCAAAGCTATCAGCCTATTGCTGAAAAAGCAGCTGTCCGAGTTGCCCAGTCAGGGTAAAACTGAATAACTAGTCAGTTTTCATGGCAGAAGAGGGTAAAAACCCAAATCCTATCTCAAGGATGGGAAGTTAACTCTAATAAAATTCAATGGCCTGCACAAAGTGTAAAGTTCTTTGGCATCCTATGGACTGCAGGGAAACAGTCCATTTTACCAAAGGCTAACGCTAAAATACTAGAATTTGCAGCCCTACCACTGAAAAGGAGGTCCAAAATTGTATTGGCTTGTTTGGATTCTGGAGACATCATATTCCCCAGTTGGGTAACATATTACAACCTCTGCATGCAGTCACTAGAAAACACTATGAATATCACTGGAGAGAGAAAGACAGCGTGGCTTTTCAAGAAGCAAAACAAGCGGAGCAACTGGCCCTGGATCTATGGCCCTTATAGGATGAGTCAACAGAACTGCAAGTAACTGTCCTACATCAACATGCTAATTGGAGCCTTAGGTAGAAACAAGATGGGAAGAAGATACCTTTGGAGTTTTAGACCCAGAAGCTGCCAGAGGCTGGCAAAGCTTATACTCTTTGAGAAGCAGCTGTTGGCCTGCTACTGCGCTTGAAGGAAGCAGAACACCTTTGTTTTAATCATGATGTTTTTATGAGGCCCCAAATTCCTATTATGACTTGGGTCATGAGCTCCCTCAAAACCCATTGGATAGGGTACACTCAAGAATGTAGTATCATAAAATGGAAATGGTACATACAAGACCAGGATAAGCCAGAACTAAAAGCGGTATCATTTTTACATGAAGATGTGCAAAACTTGCCAACTCAGGAAACCACAGGGCAAGTCCTGCATATAGGGAAGGAAACCTCCCCTGCCCAATGGGGCAAATCCTTTAAAGAACTAAGCCCAGAGGATCAGAAACACACTTGGTTACTGATGGTTCCACCAAATACATTGATGGGACCTGATGCTGGGAGGCCGTGGCTTATAATCCTGTTAAAAACATAAGCGTTTCTGATGAAGGGAGGGGTGTGAGCAGCCAGCTGGCTGAACTAGAAGCCATCCTCCGAACTATTCAGGAGGAGGCCAGAGCAATTTGTTGCTTGTATACCGACTGTTGGTCAGCAGAAAATGGTCTTACTACCTAGTTGCCCGAATGGCAATGAAACAAATGGTGAATAATGAATAAAGAGGTTTGGAGAAAACAATACTAGGAAGATACCTGAATCCTGATGCACATTACTATTATTGCTGTTTTTCATATTGATTCTCATGCATCTCTGCATTCTCTTGACAGACTAAACAGCAGGTAGATCAACAGGCCAAAATTTCCAGCATAAATGCAAACTTGAATGTGGGTGAATGGATTACAACACGTTCAAGCCTGGCGATGAGACACATTATAATGTATGGTGGTATAATTGATAATGATTACCAGGAAGAGTTAAAGTTCACTTTACACAATACCACTCCACATTCTTTTGTTACAAGACTGCAGATTCAGGTTGCTCAATTGTCAGTGGTACCTGGTACCTTGTTAACAATTAACCCCTGAGGAAATCTCTGCCCCAACAGAGGCTACGTACAGAACTGGGAAATTAAGATCCACTGGTATAGGTAGCTTAAATCCTGGAGCGAAAATATGGATACAGCCTCCATCAGATCTGGCCCCTAAGTCTGGTGACCTTGTAGCTATGGGAGCAGAAAATAAAAGGGTAGTACAATTTCCTAAAAATGAAAAACAATATCATGTTCCCCTTCAGTTTTGTTGTTACAGAGAATAACCTGTCTACTAGTAATCAGTACCTGGGTCATCATGTCTGAGGTGGAGAGTGAATTCATCAACTGGGCAGCAACCACTGCAACAGAAGCCAACCGCAGTCAATGCTGGCTATGCATAAAATTGCCAGAGACCACAGGAAATGGACTGCCTTGCAGAGTTGTCCTTGCCAATATTTCTGAATGGCTCTGTCACTACAAATGGGGCCAAAACAACAACACTTGCAATCCAACCTGGACTTCCTTTGCTACTTTAATAACATCTTAATACACTATAATTGTAGTATAACCATTGCTGTCCCCTGGGGGGCCCTCTGGGTATGCAGACCCTATGGGTGGCCTATCTGCCCCCTTATTGGATGGGGAGATTCACTTGGGGGTGCCATTAATTCCATTCACCATCCGGGATAATATTCCCTTCCCCAATAATCTAGATGCTTACAAAGGTAGCTGGTTATGAACGTGCCAGACTCCCTGGTGGTGGAAAACTATCACAGTATTCTCCCTTGCCCCTCGTACAATCCTGCTTCAGCAACAAATTAAAATATTAAGTCTACATATAGTAAAAGCTCCTAAGATAGTAGCACTGGACTTCTGTTGTTATCAGAAGAACTTGTTCAGCTGTGTACTGTTGTGTTGCAAAATCGAATGGCATTAGGTATGTTTACCGCAGCCCAAGGAGGGGTTTGAGTCTTGCTGCATTCTGAATGTTGTGTGTATCCCTGACAGTTCTCGCAGTATTACTCTCCTTGCCGAAGACATGCAAGGACAAGTAAAACAGTTAGAATCTAACCATCAGGACCCCATCATGGACTGGCTGTCAAACTAGCATTGGCGTTGGCCATGGTGGGTGTGGTTTCTATTAATTGTGCTTTTAATTCTCCTCTGCTCTATCTGTAATCTATACCAGTTGTGCCTTCCCCGTATAACTGTAAAAATATTTTCCTATGATTCAGTGTCAAATTGAGGCTGAATGAGGAGGAAAAGTTAAATATTAAATTTCAACTCAATGAACATGGACAGAAACAATGGTCACTAAGCCCTGGAACAGGTTGTGTGAACCCCTTGTGGAATTCATCCAACACTGTTTCTGAGAAATAGTTATTGAAAAACAACAGAAAATCGCAAAAACAAGTAGGCCTTTTCGTTTTCCTTGAGTCCAGTCACGAAGGGCCCTTGTGAGTGGGCCTCATGCCGAACAAATCGTTACAAAAAAAGCTATGGTCCCAGACTGTGCTGAAGCTTAATGAGACCTCTCCTTGTCTGTGCAGGGGTGGGTGGCTGACTCTGGAGCCCAGGCTGATGCTTTCCTATAGGCAAAGCTCAGGGAACAGAGGAGAGTCACATCAAATAGTTGATGAGTCAAGAGATATGTCACAGGGACTCCTGTATGCAGGGTCCAGACAGGAAATCCACATCGTTTTGGTGCTGAGCCCAGCAATATATTACAATGTCTTCTGAGGGAAGAACCAAGGCAAAAAATTAATGTCACTTTGATGTTAAGCCCAGTGATACATCACAATTTCCACTGCAGGAAGAACCTAGGCAGAAGAGAATAGTTACATCAGCTAGATGGTGCCCCCATTGATATGTCACAATGTCCACTTGAACAGGAATCAGTCAGCAGAAGCAAGTCACATCACCTGAGTGATGGGTGCAGAGATAAGTCACAATGTCCCCTGTAGGCAGAGCACGGAAAGGAGAGCTGCATAACCTGGGTGTTGGACCCAGCAATATAGCTTATATGGTAGACCCCTGGCAGAAAAATTACAAAACATGGGGCCAGCACCAAGTATATGTTATAATGTCCCCTGTGAGCAGCACCAAGGCAGGACAGGAGACTCGCATCACTTGGTTGCTAAGACAAGTGATCTGCTACAATCTTCTTTGTAGGCAGGGTGCACACACTTTTTTTAGGTGGTGAATGCAGAGAGATGTCCCAAGGCCCCCTGTGAACAGGGCTCAGGCAGTAGCCATCAATTCCCTAGGTATTATGCCCAGCAGTATGTCACAATATACAAAATATGCAGGGCCCAGGGAAAAGAGGAGAGTCACATCATGTGGGTGCTTGTCCCAGTGATTTGTTACAATCTCTCTTTTTGACAGGACCCAGGCAGAAGAGGGGGGTCATAGGTGCTGGGTTCAATAATGTCACAATTTTATCATGGGCTGGGCTACGCAGAAGAGTCAAGTCACTCACGAGCTGGGCCGAGATATATTTCACAGTTATACCTCCAGGAAAGTCCAGGGCTGAGACTGACAATCCTGCACATGTCCCATATCTAGGTGTGAGAGCAAACACATTGTGTTTGTTGGGTCTAAGTGTAGAAGTCACAGTCTCAATGGTGCACTGGATCTGTGCATGGCAGCTTCAGTCTTTCCCGAGGACCGTGGCCCCTTAATGGAGTCACAGCCTCACGTGTTTGCTTAATGTTGGTTTTAGAGTCACTGACTCAAACATGGATCGCATCCACTTATGAGAGTCAATTATTCATCTCTCAACCGCCTCCAGGTGTGAGATTTGGAACCTCAACAATGGGCTGTGTTCATGTGAAAAGATGACAATTTTTACTCTTGGCTCAGCGTAGATATGAGTGTCACAATCTACTTTTGTTCTGGGCCCTGTCAGGACACTCTCTTCACCATATGAAGCCTTTATAGAGTATGCATGAATGTAACAATTCTCCCTGAAACCTTAAGCAGGCACGGACCCCTCCTTGTGCCTTTAGCTTTAAGCCCTGGTATGACAGTCAACATCTTTCTACTTGGATGGGTCCAAATAAGAGTTCTTAACTGCCTATGAGCTGCGTTTAAAAATGAGTCAGCATCACACCTGTGGCTGGATGTTCACATATGAAAGTCACAATCCCAGTTGTGGACTGTGTCTGCATGTGTAATTCAGGACCTCAAGAGTGGGCTCTCTCCACGTGTGATAGAGACCATCCTGAATATTGGTGTGGTGTGCATCTGAGAAGTATAATCTCACCAGTGTGGCGAGCCCTGTGGTGACAATTTCTCTACCATAGTTTACACAATATGCAAGACAGTGGTACTCCTCCGTGTGACGTATCACTGGGCCTTGCACACAGGTAATGTGAGTCTCCTCTCCTGCCTTGGAACGCTCACAGGAGGCATTGGGTCATACCACTGAAGCTGATATTCAGGTTATGTGACTGTCTTTCCTGTGCTCTGTCCATGAGCTTTTGTGACATATTTCTGGGTCCAAAACACAGGTGACATAACTCTCCTGTCTGAACTCTGCCTAGAGAGGGCATGGTGGCATATCTCTGCACCAGCCACTAGATGATGTGACTCTATCTTCTGTCTAGTCTCTGCCTACAGGGTGAATTGTGACTTATCACCCGGCGCAGCATTTAGCTAATGTGACTCTTCCCTTTTTTCAGGTTCTGCCCTCGGGGGAGATTGTGACATATCGATTTGTAAAACACCAAAATGATTTTACTCTTTTGTCTTGGCTCTGCCCTCAGAAGGCTTTCGGATATATTGCTGAACAAGCACCAAGGTAATGTGATTGTCCTACCTGAACCCTGCCCACAGGGAGCATTGTGACATATCTCTGAGCCCATGAACTATTTGATATGGCTCTATTCTCTTACCTGGGCTTTGCCCATGAGAAAGATTGTGACGTATTTCTTGATCCAGTGCTTAGGTAATGTGATTCTCCTCTCCAGCCTGAGACATGCCCACAGAAGTAAGAGTGACATCTCTGGGCCTAGCCCACAGGTGATGTGACTCTTATCCCTTGTTTCTGCCCAGGGGAGTCATTGTGATGTATCTCTGAGACCATTATAAGAATGATGTGACTCTCCTGTTCTTACTGCGACCTGTCCACAGTGGGGATGATGATGTATCACTTAGGCCAGCACATATGTGGTGAGATTCTTCTCATGCCTGTGCCCTGCCCCCTGGGCTAATTGTGACATATAACTGGGCCCCTCCCCTAGGTTATGCAACATATCCCTGTGGTAACACTCTTTGTACCATTTAAGAGCTTTATATAATATGAGAGAGTTGTATTCCTCTAAGACCTTCACACAAAAGGAAGAGTTAAGACCTACCGGTTTTCCAAAGCCTCCCTATGAAAAACAGCATTTCTCTTAGTGGCAGGTTTGAGGTATGAGAGTCATTATTACACCTGTGAGCTGGCCAAGATATATGTTTCAATCTCTCCTGTGGGTAGGGAGTGAGCAGGAGAGTCACGTCACCAGGATGCTTGGCCTGAGATCTGTCAATATCTTCCCTGATGGCAGGGAACAGGTAGGAGAGTCACATACCTAAGGCTGGGCCAGGGATATGTAACAATGTTTTCTGAGGTCAGAGGCTAGGAGGGGAGTCCCATCACTTGTGTGCTCACAGGGGATATGTTACAATCCCCTCCTGAAATCAGAGTACAAGCAGCAGAGTCAAATCACCTGAATATTGAGCTCAGTGATATGTCACCACACTCCCTGTGGGCAAGGCCATAGCAGGAGAGAAACATCACCTGATTACTGATTACTGGGCCCAATGATATGTCAGAATCTTTCCTGTGGGCAAGGTGCAGGCAGAAAGGAGATTCACATCATCTGGTGTTGGAAGCAGAAATATGCTACAAGGCTCACTGTGGACAGAGTTCAGGCAGGAGCCTCTAATCTCCTAGGTGTTAAGTTCAGTGATACGTTACAATGCTCCCTGTGGGCAGCACGAAGGCAAGAGAATAGAGCCACATCACCTATGTTCCAGGTCCAAAGATATGTCCCAATTTTATTTGTGAGCTGGGCTTAAACAGAAGAGTCTAATCACTCAGGTGGTGGACAAATGTGTATGCTTGTCACAATGACACCTGCAGGAAAGTCCAGATATGGGATGAATCCCGCACATATTCTGGTTTTACGCATGAGAGTGAACACCTTCTGTATGTTTGATCTAAGTACACAAGTCACTATCTCAATAGTGGACTAAATTTGTGCATGGCAGCCCCATTTTCTCTTGCGTACTTTGTCCCCTAATTGAAATCACAGCTTCCTAGGTGTGCTGACTCATGATCTGAGAGTCATCAACACATCTGTGACTCTCAAATATGAGAGTCAATTTTTCAACTTGTCAATCTGCCTTTGGGTATGGGATTCAGAGCCTCAAAAGTGAACTATGATCATGTGAAAGAACGACAATCTTTAATGTTGGCTGGGTGTGCATCCCAATGTCATTATATTACTGTGTGCTGAGCTCTATTAGGACTTTCTGTGTTGCACCTGACGGCTTTATGTTGTATGCATGACAATCTCAATTCTTTCAGAGATTTTCATGCTGGTATGGACCCATGATCAAACCTGTGGCCCTAAGCCTATATGAGTCAACATCTTTACAATTGGCGGGGTCCAGATAAGAGAATCATCAGCTTTCTATGCGCTGGGTTTATAACAAAGTTCCCATTCCAACTCTGGCCAGATCTTTACATATGAGATTCGCAATTCCAACTATAAACTGCTTTCATGTGTGAAATTCAGGACCTCACCAGTGGGTTCTGTTTGTATGTGAGGGTGAAAATCATAATGGTCAGGAGGGTTCAGGGTGCGCATAGGAGTAACAAATTTCACCTGTGCGCTGGGCCCTGTGATAAGACTCTCTACCACCCGAGGGCTTTCTGTAATATGTGAGAGAGTGGATGATCTTAGTGAGGAGACCCAGGGTTTTTTTTCATTTCCCTAAGTGTAGCTAGGAGAAGCAGTATCTCTTCTATTGGCTGGTTTGACATATGAATGTCATCATTGCACCTGTGTGTTGTGTTCCAAGCTATATGTCACAATTACACCTGCATATAGGAAGAGAGCAGGAGAGTAAAATCAGTTGGACGCTGGGCCAGTGATATGTCGCTTCCCTGAGGACAGGGACCAGGCAACAGTCACATTATCTGAATGTTCAGGCATTGGTATGTTGCAATCCACTCCTCACATTAGGAACCAGGCAGCAGAGACACATCACCTGCATGCTGGATCTAGCAATATTTCACAATCCTCTCTGTGGTCAGGATGCAGGCAGAAGAGTCACATCTTCTTGGTGATGAATGCAGAAATATGTCACAAGCTTCACTGCACGTAAGGTAGAGGAATAAACCTTTTATTCCCTAAGTGTTGGGCCTAGGGATATGTCACAATACCCAAAATATGCAAACCCAGGTAAAAGAGAACAGTCACATTACCTTGGTGGTAGGGTCAGTGATATGTCACAATCCCCTCTTTTGGAAGGGCCCAGATAAGAGTGGAGAGTCACATCGCCTAGGCAATGAATAGAAGAGTATGTTATAATACCCCTGTTGGCAAGACCTATGCAGAAGAGTCACATCACCTATGTGTTCAACCCAGATATATGTTACTGTACACCATGTATGCAGGGCCCAGGCAAGAGAAAAGGCCACATCACCTCGGTTCTGGGCCCAGCAATATATCACAATTCCCCCTAAGAGGAGGTAACAGACAGCAGAGTCACATCACCTAGGTCTGAGGAGCAGAGCTATATGGTAGTGCCCTGTGTGTGTGGGCCCAAAAATAGAGGAGAGTTACATCACCTGAAGACTGTACCCAGCTATAAGTCTCAATCACCCCTGTGGGCAGCACCCAAGCATGAGAAGAGAGTACCATCATGTAGGTGCTGTGCCAGGCTGTATTTCACAATCTCCACTATGGATAGGTTTCAGGGGGAAGAGGAGCATTACATTATCTAGTTGATGAGTCTAGAGATATGTCAAAATGACCCCTCTGGAGACACCAGGATGCAGAATCACATGACCTGTGTGCTGGGTCTAGGAATAACCCACTCTGCCTTCTGTAAACATGGCCACGGCAGAAGATGAGGGTCACATATTTAAGGTGATGAACGCGGAAAGATTTCACAAGGCTCCCTGTAGGCAAGACCCAGGCAGGACTTTCCCTTCCCTCAGTTGTTGGGAGGAGAAATACATCACAATGTGGGGCTCAAGCAGAAAACAAAAGAAATATCCCTTATTTTCTGGGCTCAGAATTATGTCACAATCTCTCCTATGGGCAAAGCCTTTGTTAAAAAAGGAGAATCTTGTCAAATAGTTGATGGGCTCAGAGATATGTCCCAATGCCATATGTTACAAATTGCTGTAGGCAGGCTTCAGGCAGGAGATGGGCCTAATAATGAGTCACAGTGCTTTCTGCTTGCAGAGCAAAGTCAACAGAGTAATGTCACCGAGAAGTTGGACCCACCAATGTATCACAATCTCCTTCCAAACAAATCCTAAAAAACAAAAGAAGAGTAACATGAGCTAGGTGCTGGGCACAGTGATATGTCACAATCCTTTCTTTAAGCAGGGACTAGGCAGGAGAAGAAAATCACACCACATGGGTGATGGGCTCATAGATATTTCACAATGTCCCCTTAGGCAAAGCTCAGGAAGGAGAGGTAAATCATCTAGGTTTTGGATGCAACAATATGTCAAAATGGCCATTGTGGACTGGGCACAGGCAGAAGAGTCACATAACATGGATGTGGGACCCAGCAATACATCACAACACCCCTGTGAGTAGCACTAATGCAAGACAGAAAACATACATTACCTAGGTGCTAGGCCAAGTGATATGTCCCAATGTCCCCTGTGGGCAGCACCAAGGCGGGAGATAAGAGTCACATCATCTAGGTGCTGGCTTCAGTGATATATCAGAATCCCATCTGTGAGCTGGACACAGGAAACAGAGCTAAAACACTCAGGAGCTGGGCAGAGATGTATGTCACAATCCCACCTGCAGAAAGCGATAGGGATGAGATGAACAACTCCACACATGTCCGGATTCCAGGTATGAGAATTTGTATGTTTGGCCTAGGTACACCAGTCCCAATCTCAACAGTGAACTGAATTCATAAATGACTCTTCTCTGGCTGAGAAGAACTTCTCCCCTTAGGAGAGTTACAGTCTCACAGATGTAATGAATTTTGGTTTGAGAGTCACCCACCTACCTGTGGACAAGATCCATATATGAGAGTCAATTTTCTCTTTCTTTCTTTTTCTTTCTCTCTTTCTTTCTTTCTTTCTTTCTTTCTTTCTTTCTTTCTTTCTTTCTTTCTTTCTTTCTTCTTTCTTTCTTTCTTTCTTTCTTTCTTCTTTCTTTCTTTCTTCCTTTCTTTCTTTCTTTCTTCTTTCTTCTTTTTCTCTTTCTTTCTCTTTCTTTCTTTTTCTTTCTTTCTTTCTTCCTTCCTTCTTTCTTCTTTCTTTCTCTTTCTTTCTTCTTTCATTCTTTCTTTTCCTTTCTTTCTTTTTCTTTCTTTCTTTCTTTCTTTCATTCTTTCTTTCTTTCTTTCTTTCTTTCTTTTCCTTCTTTCCTTCTTTCCTTCCTTTCTTTCTTTCTTTCTTTCTCCCTTTCTTTCTTTCTTTCTTTCTTTCTTTCTTTCTTTCTTTCTTTCTTTTTCTTTCTTTCTTTCTTCTTTTGGTCCCTTGAGACGGAGTCTCACTCTATCGCCAGGCTGGAGTGCAGTAGGGCGATCTCGGCCCTCTGCAACCTCTGCCTCCTGGGTTCAAGCAACTCTCTTGCCTCAGCTTCCCGAGTAGCTTGGATTGCAGGTACGTGCCACGACGCTCAGCTAATTTTTGTATTTTTAGTAGAGATGGGGTGGCCAGGCACAGTGTCCCATGCCTGTAATCCCAGCACTTTGGGAGGTCGAGGTGGGTGGATCACCTGAGGTCAGGAGTTTGAGACCAGCCTAATCAATATGGTGAAGCCCCGTCTCCACTAAAAATACAAAAATTAGCTGGGAATGGTGGCATGAGACTGTAGTCCCTGCTACTCGGGAAGCTGAAACAAGAGAATTGTTTGAACCCGGGAGGCGGATGTTGCAGTAAGCCTAGATGGTGCCACTGCACTCCAGTCTGGGTGACAGAGCAAGACTCTGTCTCAAAATAATCATAATCATAATCATAATCATAAATAGTAGAGAGACGTGGTTTCACCATGTTGGCCAGGATGGTCTTGATCTCCTGATCTCATGATCTGTCCGCCTCGGCTTCCCAAAGTGCTGCGATTACAGGCGTGAGCCACTGAGCCACGCCGGTTGTGCCCATTTTTGAGGATGGTAACTTTTATTGTCACCAGAGTGTGCATGAGTGTTAGAATCTCACCTGTTTGCTGGGCCCTGTTAGGACACTATGTACCTCCTGTGGGCCTTGTAGAGTATGCATTAAACATAATCCACTCTGAGGTCTTCATGCTGATATGAACCTATGATCATACCTGTGGCCATAAGTCCAGGTATGAGAGTCAACATCTCTCCAGCTGGCTGGATCCAGATAAGAGGATCTTTACTTGGCTGTAAACTGGGTTCAGAAATAAGTCACTATCCCCACTGTGACTGGATGTTCACATGTGATAGTTACAATTCCCGCTGTGGACGGCACTCAGGTATGAGATTTAGACCTCCCTAATCACCTCTGTTCCTGTGTAGGAATGATAATTCTGATGACTGGTGGGTGTGCACACAGAGAACACAATCTCACCTGTGTTCTGGGCCCTGTGATGACACTGTACCATCTGAGTGCTTTACAGGATATGCAAGAGTGCTTACTTTCTCTGACCTTCATAGTAAGAGAAGACCCATAATTTTGCAAGTTTTGTTAAGCCTGGCTGTGAGAGAAAGTATCTCTGCTATTGGTTGGTTTAAGGTATGAATGTCATCATCACACCTACATGCTAGGCCAAAATATATGTGACAATCTCACATTTGAGTAGTCAGAAGCAGGAGAGTCTCATCACCTGGGTCTGTGTCAGGGACATGTTGCAGTCTTCCCTGAGGACAGGGACAAGGCAAGAGAGTCACATCCCTAAGAGTTCTGCCAGGGATATGTTCTTGTTCCCTCCTGAAAGCACGACACATGCAGCAGAGTCACCTCACCTGGGTTCTGGGCCCAGTGATATGTCACAATTTTCCTGTGAACTAAGCACAGGCAGGTGAAACACATCACCTGTTTGCTGGGCCCAGAAATATGCTACAATTTTTCTTTTGAGCAGGGTTCAGGCAGAAATGGGGGGGGATCATATTTTCTAGGTGATAAATGCAGAGCTATGTCACAAGGCCCTCAGTAGTCAGGGTCTTGGCAGAAGCTTCCTATTGACTAGGTGATTGGCCCAGTGATACATCACAATAGCTAAATTATGTGGGGCCCAAGGCAAAGAAAAGAGTTGCATCACCTAAGTGATGAACAAAAAGATACTTCATAGTACCCATGGTGAAATGGCCCATGCAGGTGAGTCACATTACCTACGTGTTGGACCAGTGATATGTCACAATACACAATAAATGTAGGGCGCAGCCAAGAGCGGAGAGTCAAATAGCTCAGGTGCTGGGCCCGGTGATACATTGTAATCTCTCTTTGGTCAGAGCCCTACAGTAGAAGAAACTCAGTTCACCTCGGTGCTGAGGTCATCCATATGTCACAATACCCCTGAGAAATGAGCCCAGGCAAAGAGTCACTACATTTAGGTGAGAGACCCACAGATATTTTGCAATGGCTCCTGTGGGTAGCGCTCAGTAAAAAGACAGTCACATTACCTAGAGTCTTCCCTCAACGATTTGTAACAATCCCTGCTATAAACAGGTAGCAGTCAGGAGAAGTGAGTCCCATCACCTGGGTGGTCAGTGTAGAGATATGTCACAATGCCCCCTGTAGGCAAAGTCTAGACAAGAGTTACATCACCTGGGTGTTGGACCCAGCAATATGTCACAATGGCTCATGTGGGCAAAGCACAGGACAGAGTCACATAACAAAGTGCCAGGACCAGTGTTAGGTCAGGATACCCATTATGGGCAGTGCCAAGACAGGAGAATAGAAGCATATTAATTAGATGCTGGATTCAGAGATATATCATAATCTCATCTGTGGGCTACACCCAGGCAAAAATGTCAAATCACTCAGGTGCTGGCTAGAGGTGTACGTCAGAATCACACCTGCAGGAAGGTCCATGGGTGAGATTAACAATCCCACATAAGTTCCGGTTCTGGGTATGAGAGTGAACGCCTCCTGTATGTTGCATCTATGTGCATAAGTCACAATCTCAATGGAGGAATGGGTTTTTTCCATGAGAGCCTTAATCCCTTTTGAAAACTGAGTTATCTTAGTGGACTCACAGCCTCACAAGTGTTTTGGATCTTGGTCAGGGAGTCACAAACCCACTTAAGGACAACATCCACTTATTAGAGCCAATTTTCCAACTTTTGACTGCCTCTGGGTGTGAGTTTCAGAACCTCAATTATGGTCCATGTTCGTGTGGGAGAATGACAATTTTGACAGATGGCTGGGCTCAGGCAGGAGCATTTCATCCTGCAGGTGTTGAGACAAAGGATATGATACAACACCTAAAATATGCTGGGTGCAGGCAAAAGAGGAGACTCATATTAGCTGGTTGCTAGGTCCAGTTATATGTCACCACCTCCCTTTTTGGCAGGGCTAAGGAAAAAGAGGGGAGTCAGAGCTAAAGAAATGTCATAATGTCCCTGTGGGTAGGGCCTATGCATGAGAGTTGCAACACCTAGTCATTGAACCCAGCCATATATTATAATACACAATGTATACAAGGCCCAGGCAAGAAAGGAGAGTAATATCACATAGGTACTGTGTCCAGCAATATGTCACAATACCCCCTGAGTGGAGGCTCCAGGCAACAGGGTAACATTACCTAAGTGAAGTGCCCAGAGAGATGTTTCAATGCCCCTGGTGGGTAGGATTTTGAAAAAAGAGAAGTTACAGAACCTAGGGGCTAGGCCTAGCTATGTGTCACATTCATCTCCAAGACGGAGCTCAGAAATGAGAGAAAAGTCACATGATGTAGGGCATGTAATATGTCACAATCCTTATGTGAGCAGGCCCTAGGAAGTAGTAGAGAGTGACATAGTCTAGATGATGGGCCCAGAGGCATTTGACAATGACTCTTGTATGTAGGGACCAGGCAGAAGAATCACATCACCCCTGTGCTGTTCCCAGTTATAAGTCACACTTCCTTCTGTGGGCATGACCCAGGCAGGGAGAAGAGTCACATCATCCCGGTGCTACACCCCGAGATATGTCACAATCTCTCTTATGGGCAATGCTCCGGTAAGAGAGGAGAGTTGCATCAAATAGGTGATGCACCCAGAGGTATGTCACGATGCCTTCTGTGAACTCGATCCAGGCAGAAGATTCACAGCAACATCAACTTGGTGCTAAGCCCAGCAACGTGTCACAATCCCTTCTGTGTAAAGGGACCAGGCAGGAGAAGAGAATCACATCACCTGGCTGATGAGCACAGAGATATGTCACAATGCCCCTGTAAGGCAGGGCCCAGGCTGTTGGGTTACATCGTCTGAGTAGTGGACCCAGCAATATTAACACAGTGTCCCATATGGGCAGTGCACAAGCCGGAGAGTCACATAACCTGGATGCGAGGCCAAGCTATATATAACAACGCTTCCTGAGGGCAGCGCCAAGGCAGAAGAGGAGACTCACATCTCCGGGTGCAAGGTCTAGCGATATGTCAAAATGCTCACTGTGGGCAGTGCCAAGGAAGGAGAATAGAGTTACATCCTCAATGTGCTGGATCCAGCAATATGTTAATATCCCATCTGTGGGCTGGGTCCATGCGAGCCCGTCAAGTCACTTAGGTGCTAGGCACTGGGAAATTTCACAATGGAAGCTGCAGAATGGTCCAGGAATTAGATTAACAATCCCACAGCTGTCTCAGTGGTAGGCATGACATTCAACACCTCCTGTGTGTTGGGTCTAAGCCCACGAGTAACCATCTCAACACCAGACTGGATTTGCGCATGACAGCCTCAATTCCTCTGCAGACTGACCTGTGTTCCCGTGAGAGGATGACAATAGTTACTGTTGGCTGGGTGTGCATATGAGTGTGACAATCTCACCTGTGTGCTCGGCCCAGTTAGCACGCTCTGTGTACTACCCAATGGCCCTATACAGTATGCATGAGAGTCGTAATCAACTTTGAGACCTTCCTAATGGTAGGGACCCATGATCGTACTTGTAGCATTAGGCCCAGGGATGAGAGTCAACATCATTACAATTAACTATGTCAGGATAGGAGACTCATCCCTTGCCTATGAGCTGAGTTTAGATGTGGGCCACCATTTCAACTCTGGTTGAATGTTTATATATGAACACAGGCCTAGCACCAATGTGATGTGAGTCTTTGGCCTAGACACTTCAAGCAGGAGGCAAAGTGACATATCTCTGGGTCTATCAACTATTTGATGTGACCTTCCTTTTTTACCTGAGCTTTCCCCATAAAAGAGATGTGACATATGTCTAGACCCAGCACCTGGGTGATGTGGCTCTTCTTTATTGACTGAGCCCTGTGTATTTTGGGTATTCTGACATATCCCTGTACCTAACTTCTGGAAGGTAAGAAGATCCAACATGGGCCCTGCCTAAAAAGTCTCTTGTGACAAATTTCTACATGAATCACCTTGGATATTTGACTCTTCTCTCTTACCTGAGCTTTGCCCATAAGAGAGATTGTTACGTACCTCTGCAGCAAGCACCTAAATGCCGTGACTCTTCTTTCTTGCCTGGGTCATGCCCACAGATGAAAGGTGGCTTATCGCTGTGTCCAGCACACCGGTTATGTGATTATGCTGCCTGATCTCTTCTCATAGGAGCTGTTGTGACAAATCCCTGGGCCCAGAAATTATTTAATACGACTCTCCTCAATGACCTTAACTTTGTGCATGGGATAAATTGTGACATACCTCTGGATCCAGCACCTAGGTGATGCGACTCTCCTTTTCTGCATGGGCTATGCTTACAAGAAGGAGGCTGACTTATTGCTGTGTTGACAACTGATGTGATACCTCTGTTCTTGTCTTCCTAGATTTTAAGAATTTAAACAAGAGACACAAAGAAAAAAAGTACAGCATAATTTATTGGAAAAGAAAATATTTGAAAGTTAAGTGCAGAATACAGTACACCCTGAGAGAGATATTCCAGGGCGGACTGCTCATAAGAGTGAGACAGCGTGGACTGTCGCTGGAGAAACCCCTTTATGGCAGTTTTACATTATTATTAATAAGGAGGAGGGAAGAGGAGTTGCTAGTAAACATGTTCTCTGTGGTATTCTGGGTGCATATGCGCAGTAGCTGTACATGCTTGTTCATATGTTGCATGTCTCGTTAGCATCTTATATTTCCACCCAGGAGTGTACTTCTGTTTGTTTGTTTGTTTGTTTGTTTGAGACAGAGTCTCGCCGTGTTGCCCAGGCTGGGGTGCAGTGGTGTGATCTCTGCTCACTGCAACCTCTGCCTCCTGAGTTCAAGCCATGCTCGTGCCTCTGCCTCCTGAGTATCTGGGATTACAGGCATGCACCATCATACCCTGCTAATTTTTGTATTTTTAATTTAGACGGGGTTTCTCTATGTTGGCCAGTCTAGTCTCAAGCTTCTAGTTTGAAGTTATCCATCTTCCTCAGCCTCCCAAAGTGCTGAGAGTAGAGGTATAAGCCACCGTGCCTGGCTAGAGGGTGCATTTTTTGCTATTAAAATAAGCAAAATTTAAGTTTGAGGGCAGGTAAAATCAAAATACACATGCTCTCTAGAACAGAAAGCCCTTAATAAGGATAGGTTTGCTCGAATAAGCCCAATTACAATGCGAATGCTAAGGCTTATTGTTTTGGCTGTACAGTCACCACGGTTTCTGTATGCCGAGATCATGGTCATTTTCTGGACTATCTAGTCTGCCTCAATTTCCCCCTAAGAGATTTTAGGGCAATAACCATATTGGAGGTTGAGGGGTTAGACCACTTTTTCTGGAGCTGTTTCCTGCTGAGTGGGTGTTACTTCTGCCTAGCCTGGGCCTTAAAATTTCTTCCTGTGTGATCTAACAGGGTGTAAACCATGTCGTTCGTGGAACCAGTGGGAAGATGTTGGCAGCCAAAGATTGAAAGCCTTGCAAACCATCATGCAAACATGGAGCTGCCACAAGCAACATAGCAGGAAATCAGTTAACATTTTAAACAAAATTGGAACAAAAGTAGAAGTTGAAAATATAATAATGACGGGTACTATTAAAGAGAGCAAGGCAGGCAATGGACATCGCTTTCATGTTCCCATGGAAGTTCCTAGAGATTCAATTTTGTCTGCCTGGGTGATGATATTATTAATATTTTCTTGGAATAAACCAGACTGATTGATCTCAAAAAACAGCATTCTTCTTTTAGATATAAACCTGTTCCTCTTTGCTTGGCTGGGAGAAGATCCCAGGCTCTTTGATTTTGTTGGAATACAGTGGCCATGGAGTCCAGACGTTGTTGAAGTCTATTGAGGCCCTCTGCTGCCTGTTGGGGACACACTGAGATTTTCTGAGATAGTTTGTACTGGATTCCCAAGGATCCACCTTATGGTGACATTTGTGCTGCAAAAGTATTCTGCTTTAAAATGGTGAAAGCAGCAAAAGTTTTAAGTCTTTTCTATTTTTCGCAAATAAGAAAAAGTTTTGTGCAGCTGAGTTGGCAGCAGTCATTGGGTCCATTTATGGATGGTAAAGTTGAATGGTGGTCAAAGTTAGAGACTGGAAGGCTTCAGTAAACGCGCTGAAGTTGTCTGAGAGCCATCAGAGCTGTTGCTTACATTGGATTAGATCATTTATTGGGAAGAGAACAAGCACTCTGATGGTCCTCTCTCCATTTGAGACTTTCTGTAAGCGGATCAAATTCTCTGGCCCTGCATGGTGTGAAGCTCCACTGTGAGTAACTGCAGCTGGACTGGTCTCTATTGTAACTGGCAAAGGCTGATAGAGGAGCATAAGGAGGAGATGAAACAAGCTTAGATTCTACAGAAGACTCTGATAGTGTGGGGACGCTGGGGATTCTAAAGCAGGTGTAGGCCTCTGAGGGCCCCTATCTGGAGCTGGTATTAGGCTGTGGGGTCTGGGGTCCCTTGCCCATAAAACAAATGATCTTCTAATGGTTCTGAGGGGCTTTGTGGCTTACTAGGCTTTAGCCCACAGGTGCTGCATAGAGCTGGGTTTTGTTGTCGGGCCAGAAAGTCTTGCACATAGGATATTTCAGACCATTTTCCCTGATTACTACAGAAAAGATCTAGCTGTATGATGGTGTTAAATTTCACAGTCTCATTCTCCAGCCATGTTTTGTCAGCTAATCTGTATGCAGGCTAAATAGTTTTACAAAAGAAGATAATTGTTTTTTTGCTTCATTTAGCCAAAAGCTGTTTCAATTTTTAAATATACATCCCAGGTGTGTTTCAGTGACAGTAGAGGAAGTGATTCCCATGGTGCCAAGAGAATCCTGCAAACGACAGAACATGTACTAAAGTCCAGGAGGCTGTGGGCAGCCCCATGAGCCAAGTGGAACCACCAAGTTGTCCAACTCATCCCCTTGAAACCCCATTAACTGAAGCTCTAGGAGGTCACAGGCATTTGCCATGCACCGTCCTAGCTCTCACCAGCGCTGGACATCTCCAGCCCTGCCGAGATGACCCCCACTGCTCGCTGGGGAGCAGATGTCTGGCTGACAAGCCTTTCCCTAATTCAGTGGTTTGCCATTTATGATGCCCAATTATAACACCTGCAATGCTCAGATTCAATCCCTATGACTGGGCATATCCATGACTGTGCATCTTTTGTTCAGCAAAGAAAGCCTGTTGAAGAACAATTTCAAGGAGCTGGGAAATGCATAAAGCCTAAAGGGACAGGGTTTCCCCAGAACTTTAGTGAAACAGTGCTGGAAGAACCAGCGATAGTTAACCAGGTAGTCTGGAAGTGCCACAGTATTCACGGCAAGTAAAGGGAAAGTGAAATCAGTGAAGCGGACAGACCTCTCTCCAGGCCATGGCAAAAGAAATGTTGATGGCTGATGTAATACCTTGATTCTTATTTTCTTAGTTTAAAAGAATTTAAACAAGAAACACACAGCAAAAGAAGTACAGCATAGAGTAATTTATTGCACACAAAAAAAGAAAAGACTACTTTGAAAATTAAGTGCAGAATAGACGGTACATTCTGAGAAAGAGATTCCAGGGCAGGCTGCTCATAAGAGTGAGACACCATTAATTGTTACTGGAGAAACCCTCCTTCTGGGGGTTTTGCACGATTATTCATAAGAAGGTGGAAAGAAGTGTTAGTGTAAGCATGTTTTGAGTGGTCTTCTGGGTGCACATGTGCACTAACTGTACATATTTGTGCATACATTGCATGTCTCATTAGCATCTTAAGTCTCCACCTAGGAATGTGTTTTTACTATTAAAATGAGCAAAAGTTCAGTTTGAGGACAGATAAAATCAAAATGCACATGTTCTCTAGAAGTAAAAGTCCCTACTGAAGATAGCGGGTTTCAAACGACCCCAAGTGCTCCACATCTTAAATGTCGCTCCAACAAAGCTGGAACACTATCTGCTCCTGAGGGATCCGGTCCCATTTGTGTTTCTGAGACACTGGCAAGTCAGGAGTGACTTGAGATGAGACCGATGATTTCAAGTGTAAAATGCCTAAATAGTCAGCAGCTTCAGGTTTCATTTTGGAGCTTGTCCACTTAAATGGGTTGATGAAAATGGCTCACAAGACTCATGCCTCGGAAATGAGGTTTTCTCCTTTGCTCTTAGCAGATTTTGTGCAACCCAATAATTAACCTTCCTGATGCCTCAACTTTCACATTCGTGAAAAAGGCGCCATTGAGAGTGACATTTCCAGGAAGCCACAGACCTTGTCACCCCCTACAGAATTCTGAAGCTGTTCATAAGCAGGCCACGTGGAAGATTTCTCTCAAAAGCTGTTGAGCATGAGGCTTGGCTAGAGAAAAAAGAGGGCTGCGGCACAATGGACAGTGTCTCAGACATCAGGACAGTTTCCACAGCAGTTTAGGAAAGAAGGCAGCGCCCTGGGCTGCAGAAGGCGCAATGCTCTGGAAAGAACCCTGGGTGCAGCTGAAAGAGGAACTTGAGAAGGATAGGGCCAATCAGTTGAGGACAACCCGCCCGATTTGGGCAAAGGTAAGGTGCCTATGTAGGGTAATACCCTCCTCAATGCTCAGCGCAGACCTGTCCTCTAGGTCCACCTATGTACTCATTCTCCTTGGCAAAGAGTCGGCATAGCATAAGAACTCAGCAGTGCTTTGTACACCGGGAAGTCCACACCGCTCTGCCCCTCCCTCCAGGGCTATGCACCCCGGGTCCCGGTACATGCTGTGATTATAGTTCTGAAGCCTACCGACAAACAGGCTGAGAGCAGTTAACAGACTACAGCTCCCAGCATATTAGGTGGGGCGTGTACCACTCTGCCCCTTCTTCCAGGCCTGTACCTCGCCCCCGAGACTGGCACATGCTGGGATTGTAGTCCTGTAGCCCTTTGACCAAAGGGCTGGGAGTGTTTATAAGAATACATCTCCCAGCAAGCCGAAGGAGACGCACACAGCCCCGCCTCTTTCTCCACTGACGGGCCGTGTCCCTAACCCCAGTGCATAATGGGATGGTAGTCCTGCAGCCCTGTGACACAAGTTCTGGGAGTCTTTATGAAACTACATCTCCCAGCAAGCAGAAGGAGGCATCCACAGCCTAGACTTTTCCTCCAGTAATGCGCACTCTCCCTGAGCCGGGTGCATGCTGGGATTGTAGTCCTGCAGCCCGGTGATGAGAGGTCTGGGAGTGTTTATGAGACTGCAACTCCCACCAAGCCCAGAGAGGCTTGCACAACCCTGCCTCTTCCTCCAGTGACGCGCACATTCCCTGCGCCCGGTCCATGCTAGGATTGTAGCGCTGCAGCCCAGTGACCAAAGGGCTGGGAGTGTTTATGAGACTGCATCTCCCAGCAAGACCAGCGAGGTGTGCAGAGCCTGGCCCCTTTCTCCACTGATTAGCGCACTCTCCCTGATCCCGATGTATGCTGGGATTGTAGTGATGCAGCCCAGTGACCAAAGGGCTGGGAGTGTTTACGAGAATACGTATCCCAAAAAGCATAGCGAGAACAGCACAGGTCCACCTCTTCCTACAGTGACGCGCGTTGTCCCTGAGCAGGATGCATGCTGGGATTGTAGTCTTGAAGCCCTGTGACCAAAGGGCTGGGAGAAATAAAGAGACAACATCTCCCAGAAAGCCCAGCAAGGCGCTCACACGCCTTTCTCTTCCTCCAGTGAGGCGGACTGCCCCGGCGCCCCGTGCATGCTGGAATTGTAGTCCTACAGCGATGTGATGAAAGGGCTGGTAGTGTTTATGAGACTACCTCTCCCAGCAAGCCCAGAGAGGTGCGCACAGACCTACCTCTTCCTTCAGTGACTAGTGCACTCTCCCTGAGCCAGAGATATGCTGAAATTGTACTGCTGCAGCCCTGCGACCAAACGACTGGGGTAGTTATGAGACTGCATCTCCCTGCAAGCCCAGCGAGGCACGCACAGCTCCACGTCTTCCTCCAGTGATACACACTGTCCATGAACCCGCTGCATGCTGGCATTGTAGTCCTGCAGCCCTGTGACCAAAGGGCCAAGAGACCACATCTCCCAGAAGACCTAGGGAGACGCACACAGCTCCGCATCTTTTCCCCGTGTCGCATACTGCTTTGATCCCGATGCATCCTGGGATTGTAGTCCTGTAGCCCTGTGACAAAAGGTCTGAGAGTCTTTATGAAACAACATCTCCCAGCAAACGCAGCGAGGTGCGCACAACCTGCCCCTCTTTCTGCAGTGATGTGGACTCTCCCTGAGCCCCGTGCATGCTGGGATTGTAGTCTTATAGCACTGTGACCATAGGGCAGGGAGACGCCATGGGACTACATCTCCCAGGAAGCCCAGCAAGGCGCACACTGCCCTGCCTCTTTCTCCTTAGACTAGCGCACTGTCACTGAGCTGGGTGCATGCTAGGATTGTAGTCCTGCAGCCTTATGACCAAAGGGATGGGAGTGTTTATGAGAATACATCTCCCAGTACGTCCAGGAGGTGCACACAGCCCTGCCTCTTCCTGCAGTGATTAGCGCACTATCCCTGAGCTGGGTGCATGTTGGGATTGCAGTCCTGGATCTCTGTGACCAAAGGGCTGGGAGCGTTAATGAGACTACATCTCCCAAAAAATCACAGCTAGAAGCGCAAAGCCCTCCCTCTTCCTCCAGTGACGCGCGCTGTCCCTGAGCCCAGTGCATGCTGGGGCTGGAAGTGTAGTCCTTCAGCCCTGTGATGAAAGGGCTGGGAGGTTTTATGAGAATACAACTCCCAGCAAGCCTGGCGAGTAGCACACAACCCCGCCTCTTCCTCCACTGACGCACAATTTCCCTGAGCCCGGTGCTGGCTGGGATTGTAGTCTTCCGCCTCTTCCTCCAGTGACAGGCACTGTCTCTTAGCCAGGTGCATGCTGGGATTGTAGTCTTCCCGCCCTATGACCAAAGGGTTGGGTATGTTTATGAGAATACATATCCCACCAAGTCCAGCGAGGCGTGCACAATGCCGCCTCATTCTGCAGTTACGCGCACTATCCTTGATCTTGGTGCATACTGGGATTGTAGTCCGGCTGCCCTGTAATGAAAAGTCTGGGTGTCTTTATGAAACTACATCTCCCAGGAAGCCAAAGGAGGCTCGCAAAACTGTGTCTCTTCACCCAGGCACATGCACTATCCCTGATCCCGGTGCATGATGGGAATGTAGTCCTGCAGCCCTGTGACCAAAGGGCTGGGAGTGTTTATGAGACAGCATCTCTCAGCAAGCAAAGCAAGGCCTGCACAGCCCCGCCTTTTCCTCCAGTGAGGCGCACTGTTCATTAAGGAGTGTTCATGAGATTACATTTTCCATCAAGCCCAGCGAGTCACGCACAGCTCTACCTCTTCCTCTGCCAGCGCGCACTGTCTCTGATTCCGGTGTATGCTGGAATTGGGGTGCTGCAGCCCTGTGACCAAAGGGCTGGGAGTCTTTATAAGACTACATCTCCCAGCAAGCACAAGAGGTGCTCACAGCCGCACACCACCCTCCCCGCCCCACTCTTCTTTCAGTGACCGCGCACTGTCCCGTGAACCTGGTGCATGCTGGAATTCTCCCGTTGCGGGATTCAGGAGGATGAGAGAGACCCCGGGTTGAAACAGGAGAATTTTTATTGAGTGCACTCAGTGTCAGGCCTCTGAGCCTAAGCTAAGCCATCGTACCTTCTGTGACCTGCACGTACACATCCAGATGGCCGGTTCTTGTTTTAACTGATGACATTCCACCACAAAAGAAGTGAAAATGGCCTGTTCCTGCCTTAACTGATGACATTGTCTTGTGAAATTCCTTCTCCTGGCTCATCCTGGCTCAAAAGCTCCCCAACTGAGTACCTTGTGACCCCCCCACTCCTGCCCGCCAGAGAACAATCCCCCTTTTTCCTTTACCTACCCAAATCCTATAAAATGGCCCCATCCCTATCTACGTTTGCTGACTCTCTTTTCGGACTCAGCCTGCCTGCACCCAGGTGATTAAAAGCTTTTATTGCTTACACGAAGCCTGTTTGGTGGTCTCTTCACACGGACGCGCATGAAACTGAGGACAAGCTAACTCACATCAAAAAGACTGGGCCCGGAACAAAGACAGAACCTGACTTTTATGCACATTTCACAAAAGGTGGTGGGCTAGCTTGAAGCAAGTTTACAGTGGCGTGAAAGCAGGGATACAGAGGCAGGACAGACAGGATTGCACATGACCGTTGCCAAGCAACCCACATGTCCATTTTCTAGGTTTCCCTGGGCATGGGCTTATCCTATAACCCTCACTATGGTGCCCAAACAGCTGTAGTTCAGCCTACTCAGGCTTCTCATGACTTACATTGTACTTCTTAGATAAAACAGAATACTTGAAGTCACTAGTTACAGAGAACAAGAATCTATAAACTCATTCCGTAAAAAAAGGAAATTTGTTTTTCTTTTCCCGATGTTGGGGGAGCGTTGGGAGAGCCTCCAGAGCACATTAGATAATATTATCAAGACTATTCCTGGTTCTGGGCTGTGCCTGTTGAAGCCTCTGGGACAAGTCAGCCCAATACAAGAAAATTTATTTCTCTTTCTTTTTAATTTTATTTTTCTTTAATTTCCCTCCTCAGTCCCACAGCCCTGTGACCAAAAGACTGGGAGTGTATGTCAGGCCTCTGAGACCAAGCCAAGCCATCGCATCCCCCGTGACTTGCACGTATACGCCCAGATGGCCTGAAGTAACTGAAGAATCACAAAATAAGTGAATATGCCCTGCCCCACCTTAACTGATGACATTCCACCACAAAAGAAGTGTAAATGGCCGGTCCTTGCCTTAACTGATGACATTATCTTGTGAGAGTCCTTTTCCTGGCTCATCCTGGCTCAAAAAGCACCCCCACTGAGCATCTTGCGACCCCCACTCCTGCCCGCCAGAGAACAAACCCCCTTTGACTGTAATTTTCCTTTACCTACCCAAATCCTATAAAACGGCTCCACCCTTATCTCCCTTCGCTGACTCTCTTTTCGGACGCAGCCCGCGTGCACCCAGGTGAAATAAACAGCCATGTTGCTCACACACAGCCTGTTTGGTGGTCTCTTCACACGGACGCGCATGAAAGTGTACAGTTACGCTTCTGTTCACTTGTCATGAGACTGTTTTCTTTTACCCACATGAACGTACTTACCATAGCTTCTTTCAAATCTTATCTACTGATTACAGCATCTTGCACATCTTGAGAATAGGTTCTATTGTCTGCTTTTTATCTTGTGAATCGATTACACTTTCATGCTTCTTCACACATCTCATGAATTTTTAAATTGTGTGATAGGAACTACAGGGACTCTGGATTCTGTTGTATTTCTTTGAAAATTATTATTTTAAGAGGGAGTTAATTTGAATAGATTCAAACCCCAATCCTTATCTCTTCCACAGTGGCATAGATAAAATCTTCATTCAGTCTTCTAAACAGTGTGCCTTTCTATATAGCAAAATATAGTATTTTATTAAGCTTTATTATTGTTATCTGTGAAATAGTTATTCAACGAACTAGTCTACTTCATTATTACTGGAAGCCAGAACCTCAGTTGTGTTCACTTTCTGGATTTTATATAAGTGAAATTATATAATATGTATACTTTTACATCTACTTTCTTCTAGGCAACTTTATATTTATGATATTAATTCATGCTATTGCAGATAGCTATACTTTGTTTATTTAAAAAATATTTTTTACATTTTGGCAAAGTATACATAAAATTAACCATCTTAACTATTTTAAGTGTTCAGCTCAGAGAAATTAACTACACTCACATTGTTTTGCAACTATTATTCCCATTCATAAGGATCTTTTTTCAACTTCCAAACCAAAATTCAATACACATTAAATAACAGCTCCCTGTTACTCCCCCTCCAGCTCCTAGGAACCACTCTTCTACGTGGGTTTCCAGAATTTAACTACTCTAATTATCTCATAAGTGGAATGATACAGTATTTGTCCTTTTATGACTGGCTCAAGTCACTTTGCACAATGTCCTTAAGGTTCATGCATGACGTACCATGTGTCAGAATTTCCTTATTTTTCATAACTGAATAATATCCCACTGTATGTATAAATCACATTTTATCTATTTATTCATTGATGATAATTCAAACAACACAGGTAATTCAAAAACCTTTTGAGTGATGTGAGTCATGCTGCTATGAGCTTAGGTGTACGTGTATTATTTTGTGTCTTCGCTTTCACATCTTTTGTAACATACCAAGATGTGAAATTGCTGGATCATACGGTGATTTTGAGTGTAAATTATTTCGTTACTATGGTGTTGTTTTATAGCAGCTGCAGCATTTTACATTTCCACCAAGTGTACAAGGGTTCTAACTGCTCCACTTCCTCACCAACACTTGTGATTTTCTGTTTTTTTTTTCTTTTTGTACTAGTTATGCTGATGTGCATTAAGTGATATGTCATTTGGGGTTAGATTTTCATTTTACTAATGAAAATGAAAAGGTTTTGTTGAGTACCTTTTCATGGGCTTATAAGCCACTTCACATAATTTTTAGAGAAATATCTGTTTAAGTATTTTGCCCATATTTTAAACAAGTAGTTTATTATTGCTGAATTGTTCTTTGTATATTCTGGATAGAGTCCTCTTTATCTATTTTTCTTTTGTTTCTTGCATTTTTGGTGTCCTGTTAAAAGAAATCACTGCCAAATCCAGCCTTATGACGTGTTTTACCTACATTTTATACTAAGAATTTTGTAGTTTTAGCTCTTACATTTAGGTCTTTGATCCAGTTAGTTAATTTTTTCTTATAGTAGAAGTTAAGGGCCCAGCTTCACTCTTTTACATGTGGGCACCCAATTTCCCCAGCACTAATTGTTGTAAAGGCAGTTCATTTCCCATAAAAATCATTTGACCTTATATATGAGGGTTTATTTATATGGGCCTTCTATATTACTCCATTAGTCTCTTTGTAGCATGCTATTTTGGAATTTTGTAGTAAGTCTTGAAATCATTAAGTGTGACTTGTCTAACTTTGGTATTTTTTTCAAAATTATTTTTGCAATTTAAAGATCTTTGAGATTCCCCATAAACTTAAAAATTGATTTTTTAATATCTACACAAGAGTAATTGGCATTTTACTTCTTCGTTACTTCCTAACTACTTTATTCTTTTGATACTATTGTAAATTGAATTGTTTTCAGAGTTTTCTTCTCAGATTATTCATGTTACTACATAAAATGCAGTTTGTTTTTGTATGTTGATTTTGTATGCTACTATTCAGCTGAATTTATTAGTTGTAATATTTTTTGTGTGGAATCTTAAAGATTTTCTACATATAAGAATATATTTTCTGTACACACTTTGATGAAGTTTATTTCATTGTCTTTTTTAATTTCTCTGAATGAAACTTCTAATACAGTGTTGAATAAAAGTGGCTAGCAAGAGCAGATATTCACTCTGTCTTCGGAGCTTAGAGGAAACACTTTTGATCTTTTCCTCTGGAATATGTTGTTTGCTGTGGGTTTTTATATGTGAATTTTACAAAGCTGGTTTCCTTTTATTCCTAATTTATTGTTTTTATTATAAAATATTTTGAATTTTGTAAAATACGTTATCTGTATTAATGAGAGAATACTTTTTAAAAAGTTTGTCAATGTGGCATATGCATTGATTAATTTTCATATGCTTAAACTTTTGTTAAGAAAGGCTAGCTAAGTGAACCAGTGAGACTGGAAAAAGAATAAAGAAATCTATACTGGTTGTGATCAATTATTTGTAAACACCACTGCACTGAAACCACCCATATGCTAAAACTTCCTTTCATTCCAATAATAAACTCCCCTTGGTCATGGGTTGTAATCTTGCTAGTATGCTGTTGAATGTAGTTAGCTAGGATGTTGCTGACTAGTTTTGCATCCGTGTTCATAAGGGATATTAGTCTATGGGTTTTTGTAGTATCTTTGTCTGGCTTCGGTATGAGCTAATGGTGGCTTCATGGAATAAGTTTGGAACTGCTCTCTTCAGGCTTTTGGTAGACTTTGGAAAGGATTTTTGTTCTATAAATGCTTGATCTAAATCACTAGTGAAGCCAACAAAATAAGGGCTTTTCTTTATGAAGAGGCTTTTAATTACTGATTCCATTTCCTTAGTAGTTTTGTATCTATTCAGATTTTGTATTTCTTTGTAATCAAGTCTTGTATACCTAGGAATCTGCCCACTTTATCTACGTTTTCCAATTTATCATCCTATCATAGTTCACAGTACAGTTTTTTAAACATTTTAATTCTTTGAATTAGTAGTAATGTCCCACTTTCATTTCTCATTTTAGTATGTGAATATGCTGTTAATTTTTTGTGTGTGTAGCTGAAAGTTTGCCAATTGTTAATTTTTTGAAGAAGTGAGAATGAACTTTTGGTTTTTTGGAATTCTGTGGTTTGTATAATCTCCATTGCATTTATCTCTGCTAAAAGCTTTAATATTTTCTTCTTTCTCTTTGCTTTGCATCTAATTTGGTGTTATTTTTCTAATTTACTAGGTGATAAAGTTATTATTTATTTGAAATCTTTGTTCTTTTTAAATGCATTTTAGCTGCAAACTTTACATCTTAGCACTCTTTTTGCTGTTTCCCTTAACTTCTGATGTGTTTTGTTTTCATTTTTCTTCCTCTGTAAGTATGTTCCAACTTCCTCTGTGATTTCTTCCTTTACTTATTTGTTGTTTAAGGGTATGTTGTTTAATTTATACAGTTTTGTAAACTTTCTAACGTTTCTTCTGTTATTGATTTAATTTGAGATCTACTACACAGCCCATCGTGGGGAAATCCCCATGTGCATTTGAGAAGAGTGTGTAGTCTCTTTTGTTGGATGGAGTATATTGTATATATCTGTTAGATCAATTTGGTTCATTGAGTTATTCAAGAACTCTATTTCCTAATTTATCATCTATCTCATTTTTCTATTCATTACTCAGAGTGGAGTATTAACATCTTCAACTATTATTTTAGAACTGCCTTTTTGCCCCTTTAATTCTGTCAAGTTATGCTTTCTATATCTCAATGTTTTATTATTAGGTATGGGTTTAAACTATTTCTATCTTCCTGCCAAATGGACAATCTATGACTATATAATGTCTTATTGTCTCTTTTAAGTTTTTAAGTCTATTTTGTCTGCTATTAATATAGTCATTCCCAGTCTCTTTTTCATACTATTGGTATAAAATAATTATTTTCTTCCTTTTTTTTTATAACCCTCAAGTCCTGTGGAAGGCTAAGAGCAGCATTACTTAATTTAAAAAGCAGATAAATCTTAAATCCATAGTTTAATATTTCTAAAAGCATTTAAATGGAAATGAGCTACGCAGTCTACCAGGAACGAAGGATATCAGTTGGGTCTAAGAATAATCATGTCAAAAAGCTCTAGGAGGAAAAGCTGCTGGGAATTAAGACTGTGATAACGGTCTTTGGGATCAAGAAGGAAATGGGGAATTGGGGATGCTCAAGGTCAGGTACATGCTTAGCAAAAGACCCAGAAAACCCTAAGCTCTCACCTCTGCATTTTAAACTCTGCACAAGTAGAAAGTAGAGGCGCAAGGAGAGATGTAACTTTATGCTGATTGGTAAAGGCATGCTCCAACACACATACATAGATCTCAGGTGAAAAAATCAGATATTTATGTTTAGTGAGAGTTAAAAAATCTGGAGTCTTACTTTCCAATTAAGGTTTAGTGAAAATATTTGGGGAGATTTGCATTGATCAATTCATCCTGAGGTCAAGAAAATCTTGATTTTGGCATTTGGAGCCTCTAGTAAAGGACTAGCCTCCTCCCAGAGGTGTTCTTTGGGCTTTTGGACTCAGTGACACACTACTGGTTACACTGATTTGAAAGTCAGCTAAGAGCTTGCTGCAGAACTCCTGACAAACTCAGTTTCACCCATAGAGGGCTAGAGCATCCCCAGCTGGTTGAAATTTTATGCCTCCTTCTATCCTCTGAAGCAAAGATGCTGTCTCTGTGGGGCCCCCAATTTACTGAGTGTTTCCTATATGACTGGTCCTGGTTCATAGATGAGTCAGGGAAGGTGAAACCTCATGATGTCCACTGGGCCGCTGTGGCTGTTTAACCTGTGCCAGCCATACAGAACCTGACATGAGTGGTTGCTCCTCTCAAAGGTCAGAACTCAGGGTTTGGGATAATGGCACATATTCTATCTGTTTGGTTATCTACAATGGAAACTGTAGACTGTCTGAATGTCTTTTGGGCTGCAAACTGGAGACAATCTCAGATGCTGATCTAACTGGATCACTCATCTAGAAGTCCATGGTAAGGGTTTGTTTTCTAGAGAGTGACAACAATCAAGCTGCAGATTGAACCTAAATCTGTGTCTAACGCAGAGTCTAATACTGCAAACCAGACTTGGGGTTGCTGGTGAAAGTTGACCTATTTGTCTCATGGTTGAAGAATTCCTAGACCATACCAAGCAGAGTAACCAGAAGTGGACTTTTGGCCCACTTCTTGAGATATCAGTCACCACTCTTGACATCTTCAGCATAACAGTATGCCGACACCATCCATACCATGTGTCCCGTGAAGCTAATCTGTGTCATCTTTTAGGCTTTTGAGACCAATTGAGCTCTGACTTCGCGGCATTTTTCACCACACGTACTAAAACAAGCCAACTCTATGATGTTCCCTCCTTTTCCACACATGCTGGTTAGATAATTTGTTGATTAGGTATGGTTTATTTTCTCTTCCTGATTGCCTCCAAGATAAGGATGAAATGTTTGGGGGATCTAGGAATCATCTAGGAATCTATTTCACAAACTTGGAATTTCGTGCTAATAATTCCTGGGTGAAATGTGACTTTCTTTCCCATAACTGCAATTCTAGGCAAGCCTGGCTTTTGTATCCTCTGAGTTGCATCTCAGCCTAGTAGCAGTTATGGGACTCCAACTTAGTTCCAGCTAAGTTTTATGTAAATATTCTTGTCTCTATTTTACCTGGCTCTAGTAGATAAAGTGTCTAGAAAAAAGTAGAGGGCGACTAGAATAAAGATGAGATTATAGGTACCGGAATGAGACACACTGATTCTGTGGAAGTAGTGGGAGAACAACCTGGAACCTGGGGTATGAACAACACAGACCTCGGAAGCTACGGGAAACGGTGGGACATTAACAACTTTTTTTCTTTCTGAACAACCCCTGGTGCAGCCCACAGAAAGGTCTGGAAATACTATTAGTTAGATCAGACGGTAAGGCAGAGGCTGTGGATTCATCTCCTTTTGGTCCCCACATTACTCTTAAGAATCCTTTGAGACTATTCTATCTCTCCGTGATGTAGGCATGGAACTCTAGTGGGCAGTGTGCACTCTCGGTGCCCATGGTTCCAGGCCACAGTTTTTCAGATGATGGACAACAATTGCTTTTTCCTGAAGAGACTTAGTACCCTGTGGCTGAGCTTAAGCGGGACTCTAGACAGCATTGATTGCATTTTCTTCTTCCTCTACGAACTGGGATTTCTCCTTCTGTTTTTCTACTGCCTAGAGGTGAATCTGTATTTGTCAATATTTAGGTAAATCAGAGACATAAATCAGGTAAGGAACCCTAGACACTGCTTCTAGGCTAGCTGGACTCTTGCCTATTTCCCTTCTCACTTTATGAGATCAATTATATTGGCACAGGTTGATACCCTTAGATAGTGTCTCTAAGGAGCAATTAGAGAAGCATACTTCTAGAGAAGCTGGTAGGACAGGGCAGGAGGGCCAATGAGGATCAAAGTTTCTGTCCAAATTTTTGAGCCTAGGTGTGTGTGGCCGACGAATCCAGGAAAGATCCCAGATCCCTGGAAGGGATTGTTAAGAGAGGATCCATTAGATTAGAATGCTAGGGTGGGTGTTCATCCGTCGCCTTCTGAGTGGGATTTTCAGGGTTAAGACTGAGGTAGGGCTGCAGAGAAATGCTATCCTGGGAAAGCCTCTGATCGAGTGCAACATAGGTGGCTCCAGCACAAGGAGAAGTCCTCTATTTGAGGAACATTATACTTGTGTGGATGTGTCTGTGCTCTTCCTCAGCAGAGCCCCACTGACTGAATGATTGTTTGAGAATTATGAGTAAAGAGCCCTATATTATTTTGAATTTAGTAAATATTGGAAGAGAAACAAACAATATTATCTACTTTCAAATTGAATAACAGCATGAGCAACTTCCAGGAAAATGTCACAGGAGGAAACTCCAGGGCCTTGCTCATCCCTGGAAACCTTGAAAATCCTGATGCAACCTGTAGGGTTAAACTTATCAATACTTAATTTTTTGCCATATAGATTTATCTTCATAAAAAATATTTTCATTGGACCTTCATTTTGATATATGCCATGAAGAATAAATCATTTATTTCCTTTGTGATAAGAACATCACATTTTTACACCTCATGTATAAATGATGCCATCACCCATGTAGTTTTTATTGCTATGGCCTGAATGTTTATGTCCCCTTTCAAATTCATGTGTATAATTTTAGGCGTGAGGCCTTTGGGAAAGTGGTGAAGCCAAGAGTTCTTCATCTTCATGAATGGAATCAGTGCTCTTTCAAAGGAAGTTGAAGGGAATGCCCTTGTCCCATGTGCGAGATGGTACCATCTATGGGGAATAGGGCTCTCACCATATACGAAATTTGCTGCTGCCTTGATCTTGCACTTTCCAGACTCCATAACTGTGAAAAATACATTTCTCTTATTTATCCTTTACCCAGTCTAAGCTATTTTGGTATAGCAGCCAAGATGCACTATGACACTTTCTTAGACACTTTGGTTTATTTCTGAATTTTTAGTTTCAGTGATCCATGAGTTTTTTAATCAATCAAGATTTTACACAGGGCTTGCCAGTGGTTTTTTTTTTTTTTTCAGAGTTTTCTTGTCTATTCTTGTTTGTGTTTTCATCTATATAACATTTTATAGTAACGTGTACTTGCAATATTTAATGGTATCAGTATAGGAACAAAATTGAATTTATAAATAACTATAAGGACAATTGATGTTGATAATATTGAGTTTTTCTGCCTAAGAATATGATACAAATTGTCTATTTGCTTATGTCTACATTCATATATTTCATAAACTTTCTATGTTTTTTCCATATTCCGTAGATATTTTTGTAATATTTATTCCTAGTTTATTCTGCTAAAAAGTAATTTGAGACACAATGAAATTGCAAAGTGTTTATTTGAGTAAGAGCATTTGATAAATTATAAAATATCAGACGGAAAGATATTGAGTGCTTCATTGACAGTGTAAGAAGCAAGTATTTATTTGAAAAATGTAGAAACAAAGAAATCATTTGGTGGTAGCACAACTTTTTTTATTGTTTTTTGTTTGTCTGTTTACCTTGTTGGACAGTTTCTATTTATATAAGGTTGTTGGCTACTTCTGACTGGTTGAGCTTCATTTCTCTTTTTTCAATATGCAGCTACAAGAAATAATGTAAGTTTTGTTTGTATTTGCAAATCAAGCGAGGTTGAGATCACTTATGAGACCTAACTAATTTTGTCTGCTCAGAGATTATTGAGACATGATCTCCATTTTAATTTCCTTTAACAAATTTTCTGTACTTTTACTTTCCATCCAAACAGTAACTTATAAATTATTATTGTTGTACATATGTAGGCCCATGTTGTGTATGCTTTGAAGACCTGTCCTGCATTCAAACTCATTTGTATTATGTTATTATTGAATTTGCCCCATTTATTGGAATTATAAACTGCAATCCCCCAACTACAAGAGGTATGAGCTCTGATGAGATAAGAGTAAAGATGAATCAGAAGTGAAAACAGTCCTCCAACCCACACATGCAGTAAAAACAAATTTCACATGAATACAATGAGTAATTATCTAAAATTTAAAGTACCCTGAAAACATTAATGTTTATCTCATTATTATGTAATATGGAAATTACAAGGCAAAAAAATCCAAAGACTTACTGTTTAAATATAATTGAAGTTTTTTATATGATGAAGTGCTCCATAATTTAAATGTAAAAAGCCAATAGGAAATATATGAAATAAAATAAAATTATACGTAAAAGTGACAATGCCTCTATTAGATTTAACAGTATCTTACAATAGAATAAGTTGAAACCTACAAAATGGAAGAAAGTTTAAAATTAGGCAGATATTATCAGCCTGGTGAAGAATAAATACATATGTCAATAAGCATTTAATGTATTTTGTCTTAGATTTTACATGAAATAATAAAAAGTAAGCAAACCAATAGCATGGTAGTTTCACCCTGATTGATTCAAACTGAAAAAATATTAACATTTCTCCATGAGAAGTTGGATTCATGGATTGGCCTCATGCTGCATTCAAGGCACTTTAGCCAGGATCCAACACTCATTGCCAAGAGTCAGCAGGCTAGAAGTTTGCTTTTAAGATGTTCCCCGGCCTGCGACCAAGACGCTTTTTCCTGACTACTTCTTCAACTCTGACATAGGTTTTGCTGATATAAACGCAAACCCGGCTCTATACCTACCAAGTATCTACTTGGCTAGAGCTGCAAATGGAGCATTTAGGCACTAGGCAAGAGCTCTTCCCACGTTTCCAAGCACACTTTCTAGAATTTCCCAAAACTACTGACATTGTCTTTCAGACCCCATCTCCCAAAGAGAATCAGAGAGATAGTCTGGAAGCCATTTAGAATCTCCAGCCTCCAACCTAGTAACAATGGACTTGGATACAAAGACGCAACCTACTGACCTCAAAGACACCAGCCCAGATTCTGGGCATTGAATTCCTGCCTCCCCATGAAAGATCTCAACTGAGTCACATCAAAGCCCACACTCTTCTTCAAGGTTCACCTTCCAGACACGCTCCAAAACAGTCCCTCAGAATTGTCTTGAGATGAAACAAAAGGTGATGAAGGTCCAGTTTTGGAATGCCTGCCTCATTCTTCACTCCTGAAAAGTCTACACCTGCTGGTTAGCACTCTCATATGTTAGGGAGCCCAGGCTCTGAGTGCATCCTTTAACAGGACCTCCTGGCCTTTTCCTACTTGGAGTAGAGTGCCCAAGAATAATAGGGAATACAAGGCCTCCACTCTCACATGGCTTGATTGACTGATGAACTGATGTCGGAGGAGGAAACATATGTAGGGAACAGCCTGGGTCTTGTGAATCCGTTTCCCAGCTATGATGCCTGTGCAAATGGAGGGAGAATCGTCAAGTATTATTGGGTGGTAGACAGACACTGCCTAATAAAATTAAGTAAATGTAAGGTGACTTGAAGGGGAATTTATCATATGTCATATACAAAATTTTAGTTGGTCAACTTTATTTAAAAACAGTCACAATTTGTAAGGGCATTCAAATATAATTTTAATAGGGAGCTATGAAAATTATCTGCACTTGCTATGTAAGTGATTGAGTTGGGGTAACTATCTGAAGGTCATGAGCTTGATATCTGCTACTTAATTTCATAAGACATTTACTTGCAAATGGTTGCCATTTTTGCTCTCACTATATGAAAATTTTTTCTTGCAAAGAGCATTCCTATGAAAGAAAAACTAGAAATTTTGCCAATTTCGGCTATTAAAACGATAAAACTGGTTTGTTTGTTATTCTTAACCAAATGCTCTTACAGATGACACATAGTACCCATGCTTTGATTGTTTTTTGTTTTTCTTTTCACCTTAGGTCAATTGCCTTTCATTTTATTTATCAAACTGTATTTACTGTAGATAGACATTGCAATTCTCATGTGCCCTATGGATTTGTACTTTCTTAGAAGTATGAAAAAATTCTCAGGCTGAGTATATTGGCTTATGCCTGTAATCCCAGCAATTTGGGAAGCCGAAGCAGGTGGATCACCTGAGGACAGGAGTTCAAGACTAGCATGGTCAACATGGTGAAACCCCATCTCTCTACTATTCACAGTTCACATTGTACCTTGCAATGAATATACATTTTATCCAAAAAGGCTAAAAAATAATGAAATTGGGGTGGGAATGGCTGGAAGTATAGGTGAAACAAAAATGACACATGACTAGTAGCTGTTAAATCTGGGTGACTGGTCTGTTATCCTTTTTTTGTATTATGTATACGTTTTTAATGTTCTGTAATAAAACACGTGTAGAAAATGACAAAGTTTATCTACACTTAGCTCTTAAGGTCTTGGTTACCTTTGGGAAGGAGAAAGTGTCAAGGGCATGAGCAAATCTGATTCTTACATACACAAGTGTATTTATTTAGTAATAATTCATCAAGCATTCCATAAATATTTTGTTCCTATATTGCTGTATGCATGTTATTCATCAATAAATATTTAAATAGTACATATTTGCATAACAATCCTAAATTAATATTTTAGAATAATAGTAATGTTTTGTTTTGTTTTAAAGTGGGGCGTGTTCACTCAGGACATCGTCAGGTGTATATTAATGTTCCAAGATATTTATTTACGTTTTAACTTTTGGAAGAGTCCCCTAGGTCTTTTAATTTTTACCTCAGTACAGTAAGTAGCATGGTTTTAACTTTTTGGATTGCAGCTTTGTTTTCAGAAAGGTTCTCCCCGAAGAATGATGCTCACCCCGGCCAGCGCACACAGCACAGTGACCCGTGCACAGGATGCACTGAGCACACACGGCACTGGGTGAACCATGAACAGAAGGAGAAGCCAGCCTGGGTCTGCAAAATATACTTTGCAGGAAAAGCAGGTAAAATTGAAAGGTCACAATTCAGCAGCAAACGTTTTTACATTCATTTGAGAAATCATTTCTAACAAAAGCTGCTCGTTAAAGCCATGGTTTTCTGGCTTGCCTACACATTGTAATCACCTGCACGACTTTCAACCGTATTTTTTTCAGATCCAGCTCCAAGGATTCTGATTTAATTGAGCGGTTACAACTTGGGTTTAAGGGATTTTGAAAGTTTTCCTCCCCGCAGGTGATTCTCTTGCGCCAGGGGTAAGAAGCGCTGGATAGGGGTGAGGGATGCTTTAGCTGTGAGAGACAGCCATGTACGCTTCAGGATTTGCCCCATCACATATCTGGAGTTCAGGGTCTTAGAAAATATTCTTGCTCTGTTAAAAATTAAAGGATGGCTTCAATACAAATTTAGCTATTTGGCTACGTTGCAGAAAAAGAAAATGCCTTTCCAGAGATCAGTTTTTTGAGTCAGAGTTTTGTTCTGTCAGTGAGGCTGGAGTGCAGTGGTGTGATCATGGCTCACTGCAGCCTTGACCTCCCAGGCTCAGGTGATCCTCCAGCTCCAGCCTTCTGAGTAGCTGGGACTGAAGGCATACACCAGGCGTGGCTAATTTTTCAATTTTTTTTTTTTGTTGTTGTTGTTGAGATGGCTTTCTCTATGCTGCATGGGCTAGTCTCAAACTCCTTGCCTCAAATGATCCTCCCACATCAGTCTCCCAAACATTTCAACCTACAGGCACAGGCAACCATGCCTGGTGTATTTATTAAAATGTAGCTACTAGAATATTTAAAATTCACATGTGCCTCACATATTATTTCTTAGAGAATTGCCTCATTTTTGAAATCTCAGGCTGCCTGCTCTAAAACCTGGATGTGCCAGGAAAGTAAAAAATCTGAAATTTTAAAATAATTGTCATTATATTGCTTCCATGTATGAATAACACATATATATTTTTCATAAATACAAATAATCTTACACACAAATGAAAATGCAAGTATTTTACAGGCAGGGCCAGTGTCCAGTGCATGAAGGAAGCCCTGCCAGAAAAGGATCCTGGAAAAACCTATAATTCTTGCTTTATTCAATCCAGTGTCAAATCACATATGTCACTCATGGCCTGAGGGGGCTTGGTGGGGAATTGAACTATATCCAGTCACGGGTGCTGGAGTGGAAATTATCTAATCAGGTGCACAGCTGGAGAAGAATGGACAGCTTTTTGGATCTAGGGATGCCTTTGCCTGTCTCTCCACTCAGAGGTCAGTACACTAGAGCCACCTCAATGCAATCGCCTGTTTTTTAGTTGTTTTAATGCTCCAAAAAAGAATTCGTTTTCTCATGCATTTTCCAAATGTGTGGCAAGAAGAGCCTCAAATCTACCACCCTGTTACCCCAGCCTAACTCTTGCTTGCAGTCAGAGTTTAAATTTCCAGTTCTTTCCTGACACTTACCAACACTAACTAACCTTGTGTAACTCACAACATTATCAACTGTTCTTTATTGTACATTTTAGACACAGTATTTTAATTCTGCATTTTTTCAAAAAGCAGTGGATGGCACTTAAAAAAATATTTTTCATTTGTAAACATTTTACAGGACATGAAAGCAGATAATAATCCCCTGACAATCCACAGTAAAAAAAAAAAGAAAAGAAAAGAAAAGAAAATATTTGTGCCCCTTTCTTTAATCTTGCCTTGGCACAGACACCCCATCAGAATGTCTTTGGGTTGAGGTTTCATTTCTGAAACCTCACAGGGCAATACATCCTCAGCCATCCTGTGTTATTTTCTTGGTTTTGGGTTTCAAAACTGCTTGAGAATCCCCAAGATACCAACACTGGCCATGACTCTTGAAGTGTCTAGTAAATAGCATCCCTTGTGTCATCTCCTCTCAGGGAACAGCCCAAGGTATGGGAATGCAGCCTCTTTTTGGAGTGGTTGGATGCACTATACCTGGAAGGAATCTCCACGTATACCTTTGCGTTAAAAGCAAACCCCTTAGGACATTAAGAATTTCTTACCCCAACGCTTAGTTTCCATTCCTTAGAGACACATTGCAGGCCAGGCAACTGGATGCTGATATTGAGGAAAAAATGTCCTCAGATTGGTGAAGGGAGAGAAAATATTTCAAAGGATAAAGAAACCCAACCTAGTGAGGCAGTGCAAAAACCTGCAAAGTAAAATGCACCTTACAGACACAGTGGAGCAGAGCGTAGCAGCTCCTGGTAGGACGCTCATGACCCACATCACTGAACCAGATAGGAGCAGGGAAAATATCCCAAGTAATAGAACGGCTTGACTTGACCCTTGGGTCAGATATGTCTGTGTTTCAATCAGCATTGTCACCTTCTAATTTTGTCACCTTGAAAATATGATTGTATTTATTTTAACTTCACTTTTTCATTAACTGTAAATTATGTTTTATCAGTAGAGCTTCAAAGGTATGAGAATATTTATAAAGCACATTAAGTTGGTGAATTTTGAATAAAATTAAGTAGTAATATATTTCACTTGTTAAAAATTGTTACTTGCCTATTTCTTTAGCAGAATGAGTGTTGTACATTTCCCAGGACTGTTTTTTATTTGTCTGAGAGGTGATTTCAAGCAGAATCTCACGGCTTACTGTTGGGAATGTTACCAGGTGTATAGATAGGGATAGTCTCTCTTCCACTACGGTGGTAGGAAATGAATACATACCTACAAGCACGTGAGGTAGATTAATTGTTAAATTACATAAATTTATCACATCAGTTATTCTTTTTTCAAAACAGAGAACTTCTGATAGTGAATATCTCTGTTTCATATGCTGTCATCTGGGTGTTTGAGGGTAACGCTAAGTTTTAGGAGCTGGGACTTGGCACCGCCTGGAAGTGTTCACATATGATTGTTTACTAAATGATTTGTTATGAACATAATTAAATTACATGTTTATTTTCTGAAAGGGATAGATACTTTGGCTTTTCTTGATGAATTATAAGATATAAGCCCCTTATAATGTTTTTATTTTATTTTATTCTGTTATTTTTTAGATGTAGTTTCACTCTTGTTGCCCAGACTGGAGTGCAATGGCAAGACATCTGCTCACTGTAACCTCCACCTCCTGGGTTCAAGCGATTCTCCTGCCTCGGCCTCCCGAGTAGCTAGGATTACAGGCATACAACACCACACCTGGATAATTTTGTATTTTTAGTAGAGACGGGGTTTCTTCATGTTGGTCAGGCTGGTCTCAAACTCCTGATCTCAGGTCATCTGCCCACCTAGGCCTCCCAAAATGCAGGGATTACAGGCATGAGTCACAATGCCCGGCTGTAATTTCCTCTCTTTTATACCTTAGATTTGAATAATTTTTGCTGGATTCTTCAAACATGAAGTATTTTTTGAATTGGAAACTAACTGAATGACTAACTGGTAAGTAGAAGTCTTAGACCATCGACTAAAAGCTAAGGCCCACCTTGACCCAGCAAAAGAGGACCACTGAAGGCTCAGTTGATTATTCCTGGGTGTCTGCCCTGCAGGTGTCCAAGCCTACTCACACCAATCATGGAAGGAGCCTTTGTCACTGCCAGAAGATATAGAGCCTTGGTAAGCTGGAAGTTCACAGGCAGATGCAGTTGAGGTAGAGATAGAAGAAATGTTGGGAGATTCTTTTTAGAATGGAATTGTTATTGTCCTCAGACTGTTTCTAGACTTGGTCTAAGAAGTTACCTAAGAAGTATTGCAACAAAGAAAAAGTACAAATGATTAGATCTTTGAGTATCTCTAAGGTTAGGTGGAAAAGTGCCTTATTTCATAGGGAGGAGAAAACAAGTTTACAAAGAAGGTTGGAAAGGAAGCACAGGATGGAGGGTAGCAAAATGAGATCCCAGATAAGATAATGTTTCACCTTGAACTCAGCCTGTTCTTAGGAGGGTTATGTATAAATAAGGGTTGTAGGTTTGCTGAAGCTGTGGGTGAGTCAAAGTTCAGGGGCTGTTTGGAAGAAGAGAAACAAGCAAAGTTTCTGTAAAGAGTATGTTATTTTGACCACTGAAGACTAAATTACTGAATGGTTGTTGATTTTTAAAAATGGGAATTTGCAACCTGTGTCCATTTTTGTGATAGGTTAAAAAAACAGCAGGGAGCATCCTCAAAGTCATCACGGGAAGCACATTTCTCTTCACTAAGCTGTTCTTTGAGAATGCAAAGAATGGGGGAATTTCTTTAAATATAGCTATTTCCAGGATTACCTTCACCCACAACTGTTCCTTGCCCTAGACATCTCTTCCATTTGGCTGTTTCTGAGTTATATTTTTATAATAAAGTAGTAAATATAATTACAGTTATTTGTTGAGGTTTTCTTTTTAGTAATTCTATCAAATTATTTAACTTGAAAAGGGTTTTATGCTAGTCTCAGATTTATAGGAGGTAGCTCAGAAGTGTAGATGGGCTTCAGGGATGTGTAACTCTCCTCTACAGTGAGAGAGGTGATGTGGGACTGAGCCCTGAATTTGTGGGGTCTGTGCGAACTCTAAGTTGTGTCAGAATTAAATTTTGAGGCAACAAATGGGTGTTGGAGAATCAGTGGGTTTTCAGGGAACTTTACACATTTAGGATCAAAAACATAAAAAGAAAGACAATGTGGGGGCCTCTGCTGGAGAGAGACTCCAGGTGTCTCGGGGAAGGTAGGCTCTGCTCTGCACACAGGCTGCTACACCATGCACTGCCCTGTGGTTCCAGGCATCCTCCCATGGTAAGAAGGACCGACGACTCTGAGGGAAGAAGTTCTGAGAACAGATGCCTTCTACCCTCCTGCCAACCTGAGGCCACCACATGTTTTTCACCCACTGAACATACACACTGCATGTTGACGTGGTCAAGCCCCTCCCAGCACAGGGCTTCGGCATCAAGATTGTGGCCCATGCTACCTTTCCTCATAGACTTTCCCACCAAAAACCCACACACGTGCCTACAAGACCCCTGGCATATGCTCTACCTCAGACACCGAATCTGCACGGGCAACCTGGTTTTTTCACCATCCCAGGTTTCTGTGCCACCTGATCATAATCTCGTCTTCCTGCATGGACACAGAAATAAGTCAGAGTAAAGTTTCACCTGGGTCAGTATCTGTAGCATGAACCAGTCCTTCCACCAACCCTGTAATGTCTCCCAATTGTGGGTTCTTAATAGCACCTTCCCCTCTTTTACCTTTTAGTTCACCTCAAACCTTTTATTTACGTGCACTTAGTGTGTCCAAGCCACCCCTCAGTTGCCTGAATCCAGCACCTACTAAAATTCAGATGTCCAGTAGTTCAAGACCATGGGCCTAGGCCATGTTTTTGCAGAAGGAAATACATATTAGAAATGAGAGGCTCTATCCTCCCATTTGAAAATTAAAAAAGATATTTTTTCTTTTCCCTTTTCTTAAACAATGTAATTTAGAGAACTTTTTTTAGTAATTTTTTGAGATGGAATCTTACTCTTTTGCTTAGTCTGAAGTGCAATGGCATAATCATAGCTCACTATAACCTTAACTTCTTGGGTTTGAGCAGTCCTCCTGCCTCAACCTCTTAATTACCTAGGACTATAGGCATGCACCTCCAGGCCTGGCTAACTTTATTTATTTATTTATTTATTTATTTATTTATTTATTTATTTATTCAAGACAGTGTCTTGCTCTGTGGGTCAGGCTAGAGTGTAGTGGCATGATCTTACCTCAATGCAACCTCCACCTCCCAGGTTCAAGCAATTCTCTTGCTTCAACCTTTTGAGTAGCTGGCATTACAGGCGCACAGCACCATGCCTGGCTGATTTTTTATTGTTATTATTTTTAGGAGAGAAAGGGTTTCACCATTTTGGCCAGGCTGGTCTCGAACCCCTGACCTCATTATCCACCTGCCTCCGACTCCCAAAGTGCTGGTATTACAAGCGTGAACCACCATGCCCAGCCATATTTATTTTATTTATTTTTTTATGGTGACAGAATTTCACCATGTTGCCTGTACTGGACTCAAACATTTGGCTTCAAGATATCCTCCTGCCTTGGCCTCCCCAAATGTTGGGATTACAGGCATGAACAGCCGTGCCTGGCCTGGAAAACTTTTATATGTATCTTTTTTTCTCTGCTTCTTTGAAATATAAGCAAATCATTTTAACAGCTAAATAAGCCTTTTGCCACCTTCATGACACAGAATTGTCTTTGTCTAAGACCTGGAAACTATTGTTTTGTTTTTTAATTTGGCAAAGATTTATTGATTTTTTATTTTCAGTCTTTTGAAGTAGGCACAGCTCAGTACAGTGGCTCATGTTTTTAATCCCAGTGCTTTGGGAGGCTGAGATGAGAGAATTGCTTGGGCCCAGGAGTTTGAGACCAGCCTGGGCTGCCTAATGAGTCTCCTTCTTTATAAAAAATTAAAATCAACTAGCAGGGCATGGTGGCACAGGAGGCTGAGGTGAGAGAATCATTTGAGCCCAAGAGTTTGAAGCTGCAATGAGCCATGATCACAGCACTCTACCACTGTACTCCAGCTTGGGTAACAGACGGAGACCCTGTCTCTAAATAAATAAGTAAATAAAAAAAAGTGTTTTTCCATACATAAAAATAAGTAAATAAACAGATAAATAAAATAGACATGGATTTGCTGAGAATAAAGCTAATTACAAGATAACAGAAAAGTGAGCACCAAAGATGGGGTTCACCCTAGCAAATTATTCCAGCCTATTAGGACACTCACAGAATTTTCCCTGCAGCATGACCGACATGAAAGTAGAATGTCATCATGTCAGGCTGTACCAGCGTTGGAAGACTAAACACTGTGGGGAAGAACCTCCCTTATGGAATATTATCAACAGGTGAGAGCCCAGCTCCTGCCCTGATGGGCTACAGAAATGAGTTCCTGAGATAACACATTGCAGAAACATGCATAGAGTAGTTTAACCTTTTTTGTGTGTAACCCTCTCACCATTTTCCTGCGAAATCCTCCCTAGTAATAGTGTTAGCTTTTAAGTTTTGAGGGTCCGATAGGACTGAAGCTGCATGCTGCAGGAGATACCTGGGGCCGGAAACTAATACAAACTGCAGCCACAGGCATAAATACTCATGGTCTAATGTAGAGTGAAAACAATACAAAATTCTTTATCGTTATTCGCACAAGTGTGTGAAGAGAGACTTTCCACATAACCAACTTGCCACTGAGACTAGTGAAGGCCAGATTCCACTGGAACAAGGCTATGAGTTACTCATGGGAAGGCCGTAGGACAAAGCCCAGAGATTTTTCATATTTGAGTCTGGGTCCTGGTTCTTTCCCGGTCTTCTCGGGTTTCTGTCTGTAGAGACCCCTATGTGGCTGCTCTCAGCACAGCCCAGTGCTGGCTGTGTTTGCTGGTTTAGTGCACCTGCTCTTTTCCAAAAAGAGGGAGGAGTTGGCCACATTAAACTGAATGATGAAGCTCCTCATCAATCTGAATGCAGCTTTGTAAATGTGCCTAGAAACCACGCAAAGAAAAGTCTGTGTTCTGCCTTGCTTTGACCGTATGTGACACCTCCATTAGAAATTCTGCTTTTCTCTGCACTCCAGCCTGGGTAACAGAGTGAGACTTCATGATAAATAAAAAAGAAAGAGAGAGAGAAGGAAAGAAAGAAAGAAAGAGAGAGATGGAAAGAAAGAAAGAGAAAGAAAAAAAAGAAAGAAAGAAGAAAGAAAGAAAGAGAAAGAAAGAAAAGAAAAGAGAAAAGAAGAAAGGAAAAAAGAAAAAAGAAAATAAAAGAAATTCTGCTCTTCAGATTAGGCACATAAGGAGAATCTGTATAAATCTCCATGAAGGAAGGAAACCAGAGGACAAGTTAAAGTCTTGGAATTCACATCTGAGTACACAGACTCATTCTCCAACCCTCTTCTTTTTATTCTGCCAGCTATGGCCTAGGTATGAACATGACAGGTACACAAGAGTTCCAACACCCGACAATCTACTTCAGTCCAAGAAGAGTGCCCTCCCTCTTGCTCCCCATCCAACTCATGGTACTAAGAAGTGGTGTGGAACTGCCCAGATGAGTTGACAAGAGAGGATGGCTTGGAGGGGCCTGTCCTGGGCTGCCCTGTGTTATTTGTAGGTGCACCCGGCCAATAGCCAGGGACATCAGTGATGAGGGCTCAGTTGACATCTGTGTTATCAGATAAGACTTTTACATTGAGCCTTTGTAAGGCTGAAACTCAGAAATTTCAGGGCACAATGAAAGAGCATCTCACTCTCTTGAGCAACTCTCACAAACAGAGGTGGATACAGAGCTGTCTCAAGAATGTGGATTCCTGGTTTCTTAACTGCTGTTGGGTTCTGACACCAAGAAAGTGTGTTAAACTCTTCAAGGTTCCATCTACTGGGCCCTATGTTTCTGTAAGACATACCGAAAGGCCCCACTATGCTACTGATTGCTCAGTCTCCTCTTCCATGTCAACTCTTTATTTGTACACAATTATGCAAACACAACTTCCCCTTAATTCCCTGGAAAGACCTAAATGCAACCTGGGTTCCAGGAGAGAAGAGACAGCTGGAACATAACTTTGTTTTTCTTACCATCTCTGGGACCCAGTAAAAGTCACTGTATTCAAGGCTTCCCCAGCCTCCTAACATGCACAGTGGTGATGATGCTAACATCTACTTCCTAGGGAATGTATTAGGTGTATATAAGATAAGACAGTGGCCTGGCGCGGTGGCTCACGCCTGTAATCCCAGCACTTTGGGAGGCCGAGGCGGGTGGATCATGAGGTCAGGAGATCGAGACCATCCTGGCTAACAAGGTGAAACCCCGTCTCTACTAAAAATACAAAAAATTAGCCGGGCGTGGTGGCGGGCGCCTGTAGTCCCAGCTACTCGGGAGGCTGAGGCAGGAGAATGGCGTGAACCCGGGAAGCGGAGCTTGCCGTGAGCCGAGATTGCGCCACTGCAGTCCGCAGTCCGGCCTGGGCGACAGAGCGAGACTCCGTCTCAAAAAAAAAAAAAAAAAAAAAAAAGATAAGACATAAAAATAATGATGTAGTGTCACCTGTAGATAATGCACACACTTAGAGATGGAAGCATTAGGAGAATAGGTGGGAGGTAGCATGGGCCACAACTCAAACAGGCCTGGTGTCTGCCAGGGTGATCTTGGAAATATCACTTCTCCACTGGGCCTCATTTTCATTCTGCTCCAGTATGAAGTTGAAATTAAATGTAGATACTGTCCTCTGGCATTCATATAGTTTAGCTGTGCGTCCCCACCCAAAACTCATTGTGTATTATAACCCCTAGGTGTTAAGGGAAAACCTGAGGGGAGATGATTGGATTATGGGGACGGGTTCTCCTCATGCTGTTCTTGTGATAGTGAGTTCTCACGAGATCTGATAGTTTCATAAGCATCTGGTACATCCCATGCTCTCACTCACTTCACTTGTCAGCCACTGTAATTGGAAGGTTTCTGAGGTGCCCCCACAATTATGTGGAAATGTGAGTCAATTAAACTTCTTTACTTTATAAGTTACCCAGTCTCAGGTACTCCATCATTGCAGTATGAGAATGATCTAATACAGGAATTCAACTTTCTAGTGCTTTCTCTTTATATTTAGAATCATATCCATGTGCCTTATCACATCTATGACAGAGGAAGTCTTCACAAAGTCTCCCAGTACTAGGTATTGAGTGACTCAGTTTTTTATTGAATAAAATGGAATACTTCCTGATGCCAGTACTATGGCCCTTCGGTTTTGAGGAAAATATCATCTTGTATGTTGGCTAACAAGGAGATAGGAGTTCAAATCAAATTTGTTTTGTCATACTGGCTTTAAGGCAGTGATTAGAAAAGGCCTAATAGGTGGGTTCTGTAGGGGATTGCTGGAAGGAAAGTAGGAATATGGAAAGTCATGAGACATATACAGTCATCTCTTCTTGTTTCCTCACAGGTCACATACAAATTCAGGGAGAGTTAGTATGAAGCACACAATGGAAATTTGGGCTCCAAAGTCTGCAAACTGATGCTTCATGGACTTCAGTTGGCCATATTGGTTCCAACAATTTCAGCCAATGTTTAAAAAACTTATAGCAGTTAAAATTTTAGTGTTTCAACAAGCCGTTTCCTATCTTTCATTCTGAAGATCCATTTTTTAAGTCTTTTTTTTAACAGTATAGGGGGTACAAATTCAGCTTCTCTACAATGAAACACAGAAAAGGATATCCCTTTTGTATTAGTTCAGGTTGCTATGCCAAAGAACCATAGATAGGCAGCATATAGACAACAGGACTTAATTTCTCATACCTCCAGAGGTTCAAATTTGAGATCAGGGTGTCAGCATGGTTGAGATCTGGTGATGACTGGCTTCTGAATTTCAGCCTGCACACTTCAGGTTTTACCCTCATTTTGCAGGAGGATGAGAGCCCTCTGCGGTTTCTTGTATAAAGCCAGTAATCTGTATTATGAGGGTCCCACCCTAAGGGGTTAATTACTTTCTACCTCCTTATAGCATTACGCCCGGGGTTACAATTTTAACACAAATATAGAAGAAAAATTATAGTAACTCTCAAGTTTTTTTTCTTTCTTTCTTTCTTTTTTTTTTTTTTTTTTTTTTGAGACACAGTTTCACTCTTGTATCCCAGGCTGGAGTGCAGTGGTGTGATCTCGGCTTACTGGAACCTTCGCCTCCCAGGTTCAATTGATTCTCCTGCCTCAGTCTCCCAAGTAGCTGGGATTACAGGCATGCGCCACCACATCTGGCTCATTTTGTATTTTTAGAAGAGACGGTGGTTTCACCATGTTGTCCAGGTTGGTTTCAAACCCTTGACCTCAGGCGATCCACACGTCTCAGCATCCCAAAGTGCTGGGATTACAGGTGTGAGCCACCGCACCCTGTCAAGATTTTTTTAAAGCTCTAATTTTTCTCCTACTGGGTTTTTCTCGTTTGCGCCCTCCATCTTTCTCTCTGTCTCTTTTTGTGTAAACCTTTTTGTCTAATTCTGTCTATTGTATTCCTCAAACACAGGAAGCAAGCTCCAATGCTATGAGATGCTCCATGTAGAGACCCACATAACAAAGGGTGAGGCGGTGCTCAGACGAGTAGAGAGAAGGAAAGTCAGGCTCTCTGTCCACATTAAACCCTGTCAATTTTCACATGAGTCAGCTTAAAGGCTCATGCTTTCCCAGTCCAGCTTCAGTTAAGACCACAGCCCCCAGTCTCATAAAAGACCTGAAGGCAGAGGTAGCCAGCTGAACTGTGTCCAGATTCTGGTCCACACAAATTATGAGATATTATATGTTGTTGAAAAGTGCCGACTTTTAGGGCAATGTTGTCAGAAAGGAGCAGATATCTAACCTCATCTCCCAGGCCCTAGGATTCTCCATCCCTCTGCTTATCTCTTTCTCAGGCTGTCTGCAGCCAAATTAGTCCCTTTTTACCTCTGCCAAACTCACACCTATGAGTTTTTTCACTAAGGGTGGCTTCTCCCTGACACATGCTTGTGCAGATGCCTCCCTGCTGTCATCCTCATCATGGATTAAAAGTCACCTCAGTGAGGCCTGAGGTCCTCCCATGCAATAATTTTCCAGGTTTTCTTCTCAATAATCTACTTTATATTATAGTCCTTGCTCTTTTCTTTCACATATACTTGCTTTAGTGCTTTTGTCCAGCGGTCCTCAGACTGTTTGGTCCTGGGTTGGGGGGTGCAGACATGATGTAATAATTTTCTGTACCACATGTTGGACCCACCAGGGTAGCTGGCAAATGGTGAGCGCAAGGGAAAAAAGACTGGCTAAGTGATTATATGGGGGATCCCTAATATCCCTTCCCCTTTTGACCACCTGATAATGTGGACATCACTGATAACAACATGAGGTGTGTGACTGTTACTTGTTCCAGCTGCTCCAGCAAAGCTCAGTGGGCACCAGAAACACAGTAGGCTGTAACCACCTCCTGGCCATCACTAACCCTACAGCCCCAAGCAGGAGCACTACTGAACAAATCTGATACCTTGATTTTTCTGTCCTCAAGACACTGGTTCTTCAAGGTCCTAGGGGATAAAGTAGCAGGATCTGAAGGCCCCAAGTATAATGAGTGACCTAGGAATCCCGTTTTGCCCTCTCTTTGCCTCCACCTTTTTGGTTGTGCTATTTACTCATGAGGTATCCTCCCCTTATCCAGTGAAATTATTTTCTACCACTTTCAAATGAGGACCTTAAGAATGCAACAGTAGCTTAGATTTTCCGTGGACCTCAGCCTCAGAGTCCAGTGCTCTGGCACATTTAACTCTGTCTCATCTTCATCTACCCAAGATGCCTCTCAAGTGGCCATGCCTCCCTCTGATTTGAAGGATCTGCAGAGTGGGTGCATTTTTGCAGTCTCAGAGCAAGAATCCAGGCTGGCAGACACTTATGAGTATGTGAAATCATCAAGGTCACCCACTTCAGGCACCCCTATTTATGAGGAAGAAAACAGGCTTTCCTGTAGGCACTGTCTACATTAGGCTGAGGTGGAGCATAGCTCATTTTACTTCCAGTTGCCCTGAGAGCTGGATGCAGAACCCCAGTCCTGTTATCTTGAAACTGACATGGAGAGGACCCCATGTGAACAGAACCCTGAATCTGCTCATTTTCTGTGCTCCTGAATGTGTAGCTACAGACTCTAATTTCGAAAACAAACCTGATAAGTGGGACGGAGCCAAGGCCTAGGAAGCTGGAGCCCTCTCTAATGCTCTGGAGCCTGCCCACCTCCTGAGATCTGGACCAGTCTCTGCCTCTTCTGGGGCCTCAGTTTCCCAATTGTAATGTAATGAGAAATTAAATGTAAAACTGCATAAACATATGCTCTGTGAGAATTTGGTGTCAGAGTTCTCAATACTGGATGATAATTTGGAGTGGGGTGGGTTTGGGACCCATGGGTTCTCAGGCCTCCTTTCACACCCAGTGCAGTAGGTGTAGAGCTCTGGACAGCCAGGTGTTCTTTCCTGAGCCAGCTGATTACAACACAATGGACCAAGGGCTCTGATCTTAAATATGGTTTCACAGGATACCCCACCTTCAGCCACCACCTGCTCTGTGCTTCCCATATTTTGGGGAGCTGATGACAAACCCCATTATAGTGAAGAAGAGCAAGAAACTAGACTTGTGGGCCTGGGGAAAAGAAAAAAACACTTCTATTTCTCCCAAACTGTAGAATCTCTTGTCAAATATTTAATTTTGATTATATCTGAGCTTGATAATACATTCATGTGTTAACAGCTGCTTAAATTTATTTTTTCTGTGAAGTGTGGGATAATGTCTTTGCCATATTTTAAATCAAATTCTAAAAGCTCTCTTTAGAGTGGATAAGTGAGCATCTTTGTAATATAAACTTCACATACTTGTTGCCAGTTTGTTCTTTTTGTTTTTGTTAAAATGTTTTGTTTTATTCTGATTTGGATGTCTTTTGGGGTTTTGCTTTGTGGCTATTTATTACGACAGTGTAACTTCTCCTCTAATTGACTGACAGGTTTGTACATTCTCAATAAAATATTTTCATAAAATCTTTGTAAAAATTGTGTAGTCAATTTTACATTACATAAACATAAAACAGTAAAGACTATCATGATGAAAAAGAAAGATTGAGGGCTTAAAAAGTAAAATACGACACAGCTAAAGTAGTCTGAAAGGGAAATTTACAGCACTAAATCCCCACAAGAGAAAGCAGAAAAATGTCTAAAATCGACACCGTAACATCACAATTAAAAAAACTAGGGAAGCAAGAGCAAACAAATTCAAAAACTAGCAGAAGACAAGATTTAAGATCAGAGCAGAACTGAAGGAGATAGAGACACAAAAAGCCCGTCCAAAAAATCAATGAATCCAGGAGCTGGTTTTTTGAAAAGATCAAGAAAATAAATAAACTTCTAGCCAGACTAATAAGGAAGAAGAGAAGAATCAAATACATGCAATAGGAAATGATAAAGGGGATATAACCATTGATCCCACAGAAATAAAAAGTATCATTACAGAATATTATAAATACCTCTTTGCAAATTAACTAGAAAATCTAGATGAAATGGATAAATTCCTGGACACATATACCCTCCCAAGTGCAAACCAGTAGGAAGTCGAATCCTTGAATAGGCCAATAACAAGTTCTAAAATTGAGGCAGTAATTAGTAGCCTACCAACAAAAAGAAGTCCAGGACCAGACGGATTCACAGCCGAATTCTACCAAAGGTACAAAGAGGAGCTGGTACCATTCCTTCTGAAATTATTTCAAACAATAGAAAAAGAGGTACTCCTCCCTAATTCATTTTATGTGGCCAGCATCATCCTGAAACCAAAACCTGGCAAAGACACACCAGAAAAAGAAAATTTCAGGCCCATATCCCTGATGAATATCGATGCAAAAATCCTCAATAAAATACTGGCAAACCGAATCCAGCAGCACATCAAAAAGCTTATCCACCACGATCTAGTCAGCTTAATCCCTGGGATACAAAGCTGGTTCAACATATGCAAATCAATAAATAAAATCCATCACATAAACAGAACTAATGACAAAAACCACATGATTATCTCAATAGATGCAAAAAAGGCCTTCAATAAAATTCCACACCTCTTCATGGTAAAAACTCTCAATGAATTATGTATTGATGGAACCTATCTCAACATAATAAGAGTTATTTATGACAAATGCACAGCTAATATCATACTGAATGGGCAAAAACTGGAAGCATTCCCTTTGAAAACCTGCACAAGACAAGAACACCCTTTCTCCCCACTCCTATTCATTATAGTATTGGAAGTTCTGGCAATCAGCCAAAGAAAGAAAGAAATAAAGCGTATTCAGATAGGAAGAGAAGAAGTCAAATTGTCTTTGTTTGCAGATGACATGATTGTATATCTAGAAAACCCTACCATCTCAGCCCAAAATTTCCTTAAACTGATAAGCAACTTCAGCAAAGTCTCAGGATACAAAATCAATGTTCAAAAATCACAAGCATTCCTATACGCAATAATAGGCAAACAGAGAGCCAAATCATGTGTTAACTCTCATTCACAATTGCTACAAAGGGAATAAAATACCTAGGAATCCAACTTAAAAATGATGTAAAAGACCACTTCAAGGAGAACTACAAACCACTGCTCAAGGAAATGAAAGAGGACACAAACAAACGAAAACAATCCATGCTCATGGATAGGAAGAATCAATATTATGAAAATGGCCATATTGCCCAAAGTAATTTATAAATTCATTGCTATCCCCATCAAGCTCCCGTTGACTTTCTTCACAGAATTAGAAAAAAAACTACCTCAAATTTCATATGGAATCAAAAAAGGTCTTGCATAGACAAGACAATACTAAGCAAAAAGAACAAAGGTGGAGGCATCATGCTAGCTGTCTTCAAACTATACTAAAAGGCCACAATAACCAAGACAGGATGGTACTCGTACCAAAACAGATATATTGACAAATGGAACAGAACAGAGGCCTCAGAAATAACACTCAACATCTAGAATCATCTGATCTTTGATGAACCTGACAAAAACAAGTAATGGGGAAAGGATTCCCTATTTAATAAATGGTGTTGGAAAACTAGCTAGCCATATGCAAAAAACTGAAACTGGACTTCTTCCTTACTCGTTATACAAAACATAACTGAAGATGGATTAAAGACTTAAACATAAGACTTAAAACCATAAAAACCCCAGAAGAAAACCAAGGCAGTACCATTCAGGACATAGGCATGGGCAAAGACTTCATGACTACAACACCAAAAACAATGGCAACAAAAGCCAAAATTGACAAACGAGATATAATTAAACTAAAGAGCTTCTGCACAACAAAAAAAACTATATCAGAGTGAACAGGCAACCTAAAGAATGGGAGAAAATTTCTGCAATCTATCCGTCTGACAATGGGCTGATATGTAGAATCTACAAAGAACTTAAACAAATTTACAAGAAAAAAAGAAACAACAACATCGAAAATGGGCAAAGGATTTGAACAGACACTTCTCAAAAGGAGACATTTATGCAGCCAATAAACAAATGAAGAAAAGGACATCATCACTGGTTATTAGACACATGCAAATCAAAAACACAGTGAGAAACCATCCCACACCTGTTAGAATGGTGATCATTAAAAAAGTCAGGAAACAACAAAGGATGTGGAAAAATAGGAAGACTTATACACTGTTGGTGAGAGTGTAAATTAGTTCAACCAGTGTGGAAGACAGTGTGGTGATTCCTCAAGGATCCACAATGAGAAATACCATTTGACCCAGCAATCACATTACTGGGTATATACCCAAAGGATTATAAATTATTCTATTATAAAGATACATGCATACGTATGTTTATTATGGCACTGTTCACAAGAGCAAAAACTTTGAAACAAACCAAATGACCATCAATGATAGACTGAATAAAGAAAACTTGGCATGTCCACATCATGGAATACGATGCAGTCATAAAAAGGATGAGTTCATGTCCTTTGCAGGGACATGGATGAAGCTGGAAACCACCATTCTCAGCAAACTAACACAAGAGTAGAAAAGCTAACATCGCATGTTCTCACTCATAATAGGGAGTTAAACAAAGAGAACACACGGACACAGGAAGGGGAACATCACACACTGGAGCCTGTCGGGAAGTGGGGGACTATGGGAGGGATAGCATTAGAAGAAATATTCCTGGCCTAGGCCACTATTGCGATTTTCTAAATTTTGTTTCAAAAACATGATATGTTTCAAAAATTGTTATTGGTATGTAATTATATAAATATATAGTTCAGAAAAAAGAATCAACATTAATTATGCTTTTTCCAAAATACTTTATGGTTTTGAGCTCTTCTAGCAGTGACATTTTTGCTGTAGGTAATTGCTGTATATCTGGTATATTCATCATAGCATACTTTGTGCCGTTTACACTTATCCTTCAATTTCCCACTCTCCTAAGTGTAAAAGTTCAAGGCCAGAGCTCCCATATCTTCCCAATGTTACTTTTTGAAAAGAAGCTTCTATGTACTGTTTTCTCTGGGTCTTGATTGGATATATTGCTAAAAGAGCTGAAAAATAATAATTTTTTTAAAAATTCGGTGATGAGATTAAAGTAAATATATTTTATAAATCTAATGTACAAAATGAGGTCAGCTGAGAAGACAATGACAGTTGAAGCAGAACCTGAGATCCTGTTTCTCTCCATTGACATATGAACTTAACTACAATTGGGTGAACAAAGCCAGTTGAGTTTGTAGCACCCCACATGAGAAAAAAGCCAACCATAACCACATTTAGAAGAAAATTTGGTCACATTTGTGCACTACAGAACAGCGCAGTTAGATAAAAATCTGTCCATTCCATGATTCTCCTTTGGGAAAGAAAAAAGAGTGAAATGCGTATGCAAACTTCTGACTTACTGAGTTATACCGGGGTTATCTAAAGACTGGAAATTGCTTCCTTTAACATTTAGTGTTGATGAGAATAGAGACTGAGTTTAAATGACAGCTTGGGTCAACTGAGAATAAAGATAAATGCTTCTTACAACAACAGAGACTGTAGTGCCTACAAGAGTGATGAAGGGAAGAGACTAAAGGCTCCTAAGAGGAAACAGAGGTAAACCTTATTAACAAGAAAATACATACAGTAGTCCAAAGAAGACACATTTTGACAACAGATTGGAGAAGCTCCCAGTATGACTACTGTGGCTGAATGTTGTCAATTTTCCCATGTATAAAGCTCTTTCATAAAGGATAAAATAGGTAGTGGTTTCTTAATTGATCAAAACCTTAACAAAACTACAGTAAGTAAAAGCAACCAGGAAATATAACCTAATCAATGGAGAAAAATATATATTCAAGTGAACCTAAAGAAGTGGAGATCTAGGAATTATTTTTTTAACTTAAAATCTTTTTATTTTTCTTTACTTTTTCATTTTATGCAGAGGATCTTACTTTATCTCCTGGGACAGCGTACACTGGTGGAATCACAGCTCACTGTAACCTCAAATTTCGGAAGTCAAGCAGTCATGCCACCTATGTCTCCTGAGTAAATATGACCACAGTTGTGCACATTACCCCTCCTGTATAGTTTCTTTAAAAAAATTTGTACAAACAGTATGTTGCTGTGTTGCCTCGGCTGGTCTCAAACTCCTGGTCTCAGGCAATCCGACTGCTTCAGTCTGAAAGTGCTGGCACAAGCTACCATACCTGGAATTGTTTCTCTTTTAAGAAAAAATAGCTTTAAATCATTAATAGTAAAATAAAACAAAGAAAGGTATTGCGTAACGATAAAGGGTTCAATTCAACAAGAAGACTTAACTATCGTAAATGTAGATGCACCCAACTTTGGGGAACATAGAGTTATACAACAATTACTGCTAGACCTACAATAAGACTCAAGTAGACACACAATAATAGTAGGGGAATGCAACTCCCTACTAAGTGTTTGACAGATTATCTAGGCAGAAACTTAACAAAGAAATTCTGGAGTTTGATTCGACACTTGATCAATTGAAACTAATAGACATTTATAGTATATGCAACACATCATCTAAAGAAAGTAAATTCTTCTCATCTGCTCACAGAATATGACAGGCCACAATGGAACAAAGATAAAAATCAATACCAAGAAAATCTCACAAAATCACAGAATGATATTGAAATTAAACAACTTGCTCCTGAATGAATTTTGGATAAACAAAAAAATTAAGGCAGAAAATTAAAAAGATTTTGAAATAGAAGAGACACAATATAACAAAATGTCTGGGTTGTAGGAAGAGCTCTGTTAAGAGGAAAGTTGAGAGTGCTAAATACCTGCATCAAGAAGTTAGAATGATCTCAAACTAACAATTTAACATCACACTTAGAGAAACTAGAAAAATAAAAACTCACTTACCCCAAAGCTAGCAGAATGGCAAAAATATTCATAACCTATGAACCTGACAAAATCTAATACTCAGAATCTATAAGAAACTTAAAGAATTCACAAGGAAAAAATTACCCCATGAAAAAGTGGGCAATAACAGACACTCTTCAAAAGAACACATACAAGTGGCCAAATAACATGAAAAAAGCTTATCATCACTAACCATCAAGGAAATGTAAATAAAAACCACAATAAGACACCATCGTACACCAGTTAGAATGGTTTTTGTTAAAAAGTAAAATGATAATAGATGTTGATGAGGTTTTAGAGGGAAAAAACCACTTATACACTGTTAATAGGAATGTAAATTAGTTCAGCCACTGCGGAGAGTAGCTTGGAGATTTTCCAAATAACTGAGAGTTAAACTGTGATTCAACCCAGCAATTTCACCGCTGGGTATATACCCAAAAGAGAATAAACTATTCTACCAAAATAGCACATGCACTTGTTGGTTCATCACTACACTATTCATAAGAGGAAGGACGTGAATCAACCTACGTGCCTATTCATGGTAATTTTTTATTTTTTTGAGATGACGTCTCACTCTGTTGCCTAGGCTGCAGTGCAGTGGCACGATCTCAGCTCACTACAACCTCCACCTCCCAGGTTCAAGCAATTCTCCTGCCTCAGCCACCCGAGTAGCTGGGACTATAGGCGCATGCCACCAAGGCTGGCTAACTTTTGTATTTCCAGTACAGAGGGGGTTTCATTACGTTGTCCAGGATGGTCTCGATCTCCTGACCTCATGATCCACCCGCCTTGGCCTCCCACAGCACTGGGATTACAGGCGTCAGCCACCATGTCCAGCCTATTGATGGTAAATTGAATTTAAAAAGTGTCACATGTACAGCAATACTACTTAGCAAAAACAAACAAAAAAAACCTCCTTTGCAGCAACGTTAACACAACTAAAGGCCATTATACAAAGCAAATTAATGCAGAAATGAAAAATGAAAATACTGCATATTCTCACTTATAAATGGAAATTAACACTGGGTACACATGAACAGAAAAACAAAAATAATAGACAACTCTTAGAGGGTGGAGAGAGGGAGGGACCAAGAACTGAAAAACTGTCTACTTAGTACTATGCTCACTACCTGATTGATGGAATTACTCATACTTCAAACCTCAGCATTATACAAAATACCCATGTAAAAAACCTGTGTAGGTACCTCCTAAATCTAAAATAAATTTGAAATGCTAAAAAGAGGTCTTACTCTCTCACCCAGACAGGAATACAATACCATGATTATAGCTCAATGCAGCCTCAAGTTCCTGGGGAACTCAAGGAATAATCTTACCTCAGCCTCCAACTTCCTGAGACTACAGGAACATTCCACAATGCCTGAGTAATATGTGAAAATATTTTTTACCAATAGCTTCTCACAATATTGCCCGGGGTAGTCTCAAACTCCTGGCTTTAAGTAATTGATAGGGTTTGGCTCTGTGTCCCCAATCAAATCTCATCTTAAATTGTAATAATCCCCATATGTCCTGGGAGGTACCCTGTGGGAGGTAATTGAATCATGGGGGTGGGATTTTCCCGTGCTGTTCTCATGATAACAAATAAGTCTCATGTGATCTGATGGTTTTATAAGTGGAGGTTCCCCTGAACAGTCTCTTGCTTGTTCCAATAATGGTGAGACCTCCCTAACCATGTGAAACTGAGAGGCCATTAAAACTTTTTTCATGATAAATTACATAGTCTTGTTTATGTCCTTATTATCAGCATGATAATGGATTAATACAGTAGCCCTCTTGCCTTAGCTTTCAAAGTAGCTGGAGTTACATGCACGTGTCACTGTGCCTGGCTAAAACACCTAGCTTAAAGATGCTCAGTCAGCTAAAGAAGAATATAGTAAACTAAACAGAAAAAGAAAACAATGCATGAAGATAATGAGATTATCAAAGAAGTGATTAAAAGTGCAAAATAGAAACAAAGTGTAGAGCTGAAAAGTAAAATACCTGAGTTTAGAGATTCACTAGAAGGTCCAACAACAGGTTTGATCTAGCAGGAAAAAATTCAGCAAGCCTCATAAGAAGTCATTTGAAATTATAGGGTGAGGAGGCTAAAAATAATTTAAAAAATTAAGAGAGCCTAAGGGACTTATAGGATACCATTAAGATGGCCAATATACTCATAATGGGAATTCTAAAATAAAAAGAGAAAAGAGAGCAGCAAAGTTATTTCAAGAAACAAACAGTGACAGAGAACTCAGAATTTGAGGGAGAAAATGACCTAAAATTTAATGAAACTTTACCAACTCTAACTAGTAACAACACAGGGAGACCCATGACAAGACACATTATAATCAGAGATTCAAAAGTTAAAACACCGAGAATCTTGAAGTCAGCAAGAAAAAAGTGACTTAGCATGTACAAGTTTACCCCTGCAGGATGACCAGCAGATGTCTCAGCAAAAAAACTTACAGGTAAGAGGTTGTAGGATGACATACTCAAAGTGCTGAAAAAATGGCAAGTACCAGCCAAGAACACTATGTCTGCCAAAACTATCATTTCAAATGAATTAAAAAATAAAAATAAAGAATATTCAAGATCAACAAAAACTGTATAAATTTATACCCACTAGGCCTGTCTTAAAAAATGCTAAATAGTCATTCATATTAAAAAATGAAATAATGATGAGAGCAACACAAAATTATGTAAAATATGACCTTTTCTAATAGAGAAAATTATGTACACAATCATAATATTCTTTGTAATTATAATGAAGATGCACAAAATACTTTAATTCTGCTATATATTTGAGATAACAAAGACTTAAAAATGACTATAAATCTGTGCCAATAGATTCACAACACAAAATGATATAATTTGTGACATCAATAAAACACATAGGGAGCCATAAAGAGGCAGGGTTTTATATGCAATAGTAGTTATTCTTGGTAATATCTATAGTAACAACAAAGAAAATACCTACAGTTCTTAGGATTTTGAGACTAGTCTGGGCAACATGGCAAAACCCTGTCTCTATGCAAAATAACAACTGTTAGCCAGGAGTAGTGGTGCACATCTGTGGTCCCAGGTACTCAGAAGGCTGTGGTGGGAGGATTGTTTGAGTTGAGCCTGAGAGGCAGAGCTTGAGTAAGCAGAGATTGTGCCACTGCACTCCAGCCTGGGTGACAGAGCAAGACCCTGTCAAAAAAAAAAAAAAAGGAAATACCTATAGTACACACACACAAAGACATACACACACAGAGAGTAGTGAGAAAAGAATTAAAACATGTCCCTACAAAAATCAATAGTACACTAAGAAAGAGAACAAGAGAGAAAAACAGGAACGAAATAGCTACAGGACCGGCCAGGGGCGGTGGGTCACGCTTGTAATCCTAGCAATTTGGGAGGCCGAGGTGGGTGGATCAACGAGGTCAGTAGATCGAGCCCATCCTGGCTAACACGGTGAAACCACGTCTCTACCAAAAAAAAAAGAAAAATAGCCGGGAGTGGTGGCAGGCTCCTGCAATCCCAGCTGCTGGGGAATCTGAGACAGGAGACTGGCATGAACCCGGGAGGCAGAGCTTACTTTGAGCCAAGATCTCACCACTGCACTCCAACCTGGGCGACAGAGAGAGACTCCGTCTCAAAAAAAAAAAAAAAAAAAAAGCTGCAGGACCTAAAACAAAAAAGAAACAAAATGCAATACGAAATCATTCCCTTTTAGTAATTTTTTTATATAAATCAATTATGTCAATCAAAAACATACTTTCACTAAATAAATTCATGAAACAAGATTCAACTCTCTGCTTCCTACAAATAACCAAATTATGATCTGGAACACATATAACCTGTACATGAAAGAATAATAAAAAATATTAAATGCAAAATCAAATACTGTCATGGTAGACAAAATACATATTATATCAAAAACTTCCTCAAGAGACAAGAGGAAAAGGACAATAAAAACAACAACAATAAAAGCAACAACAATAAAGCAACATACAACAATAAAAGCAACAACATTAAAACAACATACAACAATAAAAGCAACAACAGTGACGTATGTGCCTTACATCACAGTTCCCAAACATATGAAGCAACATTTTACAGAATTGAAACATGAAGTAGCCAGCACCTGATAACAGTAAATGACTTTTATATCTGACTTTTAGTAATGTAAATTAAAAAACAAACATAAGATGGATAAGTAAACAGAGGATTTCAACAACACGATAGAACAATTAGACCTAACAGTCACATTTATATCTCTCCACTCAACAGTAGAATCTGCAATACTTTTAATCACACATGCCACAATATTCCAGAGAGACCACCTGTTAAGTTAAAAAATGAATCTTAGCAAATTTAAGCAGATGGAATTACAAAATTATTGCTAACTATGATACAATAAAACAAGAAGTTAAAAACACTAGCATGTCAAAGAATAAGTAAAAATTAAACAACAAATTCTCAAACACACTCTTGTTCAAGAGGTTATAGACTTAATGTTGTTAACATGTCACTACTACTGAAAGTGGTTTACTGATTCAATGCTCTTTCTTTTCTTTTCTTTCTTTTTATCTTGAGATGGGTTTTTCCTCTTGTTGCCCAGGGTGGAGTGCAATGGTGTGATCTCAGTTCACTGCAACCTTTCATATTAAAAAAACAACTAAAAATTTGAAGAGACAGCTTAGGCGATGACAGAAAATGTTCTCATATACATGTGACAAAAGGCTAATATTCAGAATAAATAAGAAACTTTAAAATCTCAAAATAAAATACACTTATAATCTAATTTAAAAAATGCAAAAGATCTTAATAGATGTTTGTCAAAAAGTGATACAAAAATGGCTAACTGGAACATAAAAATATGTTCTACATTACTAATCACCAAGGAAATGAAAATCCAAACCACAATGAGGTACCGCCTCACTCCCATTTAGAATGGCTATAATAAAAATAAATAAATAAATAAAACAAGTACTAATGAGGATATAAAATGAGTGAATGTATACATTGTTGGTGGAATTGTAAATTAGTATGGCCACTATAGAAAATACTATGGAGGTTTCTGAAAGAAATTAAAAATAGATGTATTACATGATCCAGCAATTTTACTCCTGTATGTATATACAAAAGAAAGGATATCACTGTGTCAAAAAGATATTTGCATTTCCATGTTAGTTACAGAACTAGTTATAATAGCTTATATATGGAATCAATTCAAATGTACAGTAACAGATAAATGGATAAGGAAAATGTACTATATATGCACAGTGAAATACTATTCAGCTATAAGAAAGGATAAAATTCTGTCAGTTAAAAGAGCATGGATGAACCTTGAGCATACCATGTTAAGTAAAATAAGCCACATAGAGAAACACAAATACTTTATGATCTTATTATCTCACTCATTTGAGGAACCTGAAAAAAAGGGTTGATATAAGCAAAGAGTACAACAGGGGTTACCAGAGACTGAAGCAGGTAGATGGGAAAAGGCAGCTTCAAAAGTATTGTGTTACAATTAGATAGGAGAAATAAGTTTTTGTTTTTTGTTACACAGCAGAATAATAATAATTAATGAAAAGTTATCTCATATTACAAAATAGCTAAAAGAGACCAGTTGTGGTGGCACATTCCTGCCATCCATACATTTTGGGAGAATGAGGTAGGAGAATCACTTGAAGACAGAAGTTCAAGATGAGCCTGGACAACGTAGTGTGACCCCGTCTCTATGAAAAATTAAAACATTATCCAGGCATGGAGGCAGGTTCCTGTAGTCTCAGCTAATTGGGAAGCTGAGGTTAGAAGATTGTTTGAGGTTACAGTGAGCTAGGATTGCACCACTGCACTCCAATCTGTGTGTTAGAGCAAGATCCTGTCTCTAAAAAAAGTTAATACATAAAGATATAAAAAAATAGCTAGAGAAGAAGCTTTTGAATGTTCTCACCACAAAAATAACAAATGTATGAGGCAATAATTACACTAAGTACTCTGATTTTTATTGCTATACAACATATATACATAATTGTTTCCCCAAAATTTGTACAATTACATGTGTCAATTTTAAAATATGAAGACTATAATGTAAAATCTATAGCTGTAAAATTCCTAGCACAATACAGAAGGGTGAAGCTTCATGACAATTGGTCTCGGCAATAATTTGGGGGATGTAACATCAACGGATCAGACAACAAAAGCAAGGGAATACACATGGTACTAAATCAGTGTGTGAAAAATATCCCAAACAGGCAAAGCAGAACATGGAATAGATATATGCACATTTATGTACACTGTAGCATTACTCACAAACATACTACCTGGAAGCAAATGTACCTTTAAGGATGAGTAGATTCAACAAACAGGGCATGTGTATTCACTGGGATAGCATTCAGCCTTGAAAATAAGGAAATCTTGAAAAGTACTACAATAAAGACAAATCTCGAAAACATTCTGTTAAGTAAAACAAGACAGTCAAAAAGGAAAACTGTATAATTACACCTATGTAAAATATTTAGTCAAACTCAAAGAAACCAAGTGTTGTAGTCTCAGCAGTGCACCAAGATGTAACAGTCTCTCATAGTCTGAGATAGCATCGAAAGTTCTTTGTTCTACTTCTAGGGAGATTAAGGAGCGTGAACACAAAGGTGAGGTTAGAGTGAAAGTTTGATAAGCAAGAGAAGAAAGCTCTTTGCCAGCAGAGATAGTTTCTGAATGGGGTGACCTCTGTGAGGCTGGGGCCCAAGGTTTTTATGGACTGGGAAAGGAAGAGAAGGAAATGTGCTTAGTTCACAGGCTGTCTTGAAAAAAGTGTGGCTCAGCTTGGCCCAGGACTTTGGCCCGGGACCAATCAGGAGCTGAAGGGATGATTCATAGATGCTATTTAGATTGGCCCAGGACTTATAAGAAGCCAAAGTGAAAGCTTGGCGCAGGAGCTTGTCCCGGGAGCAATCAGGGGCTGAAGTAATTATTCACAGAGGTCAGACTTACAGTCCAAATAAAGGAGAGTGTCGACCGGAATGCACCAGAGCCCACTGTGCTTATGCCCACAGAAGGAGAAGAAACATTTTCCTGGGAGCGCACTGACTGCACAAAGTACAAAGGCGTTTCTTTTTTTCTTTTTCTTTTCTTTCTTTCTTTCATTTTTTTTTTTGAGATGTACTTTCTTATTATTTATTTATTTATTTATTTATTTATTTATTTATTTATTTTGAGACGTAGTTTTGCTCTTGTTGCCCAGGCTGGAGTGCAGTGGTGCGATCTCAGCCCACAGCAAACTCCGCCACCTGGATTTAAGTGATTCTCCTGCCTCAGCCTCCCAAGTAGCTGGGATTACAGGCATGAGGCGCCATGCCCGGCTAATTTTGTATTTTTAGTAGAGACAGGGTTTCTCCATGTTGGTCATGCTGGTCTCGAACTCCCGACCTCAGGTGATCCGCCCACTTCCGCCCAAATTGCTGGAATTACGGGCATGAGCCACCATGCCTGGCCAAACAAAGGCATTTCTATGCCAGGTCGGTCTTGTTCCCTTATCTCAGTGAGCTGGAGGTTTGTACCAGTTTTTATCCAAATGGGCCAGAGGTTTTTCTGTCTGTGCAGCCATGGGCAGGTCTCCAAGCACAACACCATGTGCTAGTTACCTTGTTAGTGTCTGCAGCTTGATTTTTTCCAGGATTCCTTTTATGTTATGCAGGGATGAGATACTGACCCAAGGGCCAGGGACTTTCCAGGGACCCTTCTCTTGCTATCTAACTAAAGCAAGCTAACTAACTTGTTTCAGAATTAATGAGTATTCACTTTTAATTTTGTAAGACAAAAATTATCTAAAACCTATTGCAAAAAAAATAGAACTATACTTACCACTTCTAAACCATATACTTAAAATGTTAGAAATGAAAATGGCATGTTTTTAACTACAATTAGAAATTTAGGACTACCTAAAAGGCACGGTTACAAAATCTTCAAACATCCCCTTCAAATAACAAAGGGTTCTTCTCACATAATTTTTTAGATTTAAACTATAAGTTGATTGTAAATTTAAGATTATTTCCCTGACTACTCACCAAGATAGAATAAAATAATCACTAGAAACCAAGAAAAGAGGAAAATTTATAGCACTAATGTCCACATCAAAAAGCTAGAAAGGGCCAGTCATGGTGGCTCATGCCTGTAATTCCAGCACTTTGGGAGGCTGGGGTAGGCAGATCACTTGAGACCAGGTGTTCAGGACCAGCCTGACCAACAGCAAAACCATATATCTACAAAAAAATACAAAAATTAGCTAGGTGTGGTGATTGACATCTGTAATCCCAGCTACTCAGGAGGCTGAGACAGCAGAAGTGACTTAAAACCGAGAAGAGGAGGTTGCAGTGAGCCGAGATTATGCCACTGTACTCCAGTCTGGGTGACAGAGTGAAACTCTCCCACAAGAAAAAAAAAAAAATTAGAAAGATCTGAAGTTAACAGCCTAACATCTTGATTAAAAGAACAAGAAAACCAAGTGAAAACAAACCTGAAAGCTAGCAGAAAACAAGAAATAGCCAAGATCAGAGTAGAGCTGAAGGAGATAGAGACACTGAGAACTCTTCCAAAAAAAAAAAAAAAAAAAAAACTCAACCAATCCAGGAGCTGTTTTTATGAAAAAAAAAAAAAATTAATAAACTAGATGGAACACTAGTTAGGCAAATAAATAAGAAAAGAAAGAACCAAACACAAATAGAAATAATAAGGGAGATATCATCACTGATCCCATGGAAATAAGAACAACGATCAGAGAATACTATAAACACCTCTATGCTCATAAACCAGAAAATCTAGAAGAAATGGACAATTTCCTTGCAAAATAAACTCTCTACAAGACTGAACCCTGAATAGATCAATAATGTGTTCTGAAATTGAGGCAGTAAGAACTAGCCTACCAAGCAAGCTGAATTTGACTTGAGGTAAAGAGGAGATAGTACATTTTCTCCTAAAACTATCCAAAAAAAATTGAAGACAAAGAAGTTCTGTCTAACTCATTCTATCAGGCCAGCATCATCCTGATACCAAAACCTAACATAGATACAACAACAACAACAACAACACATCATGCCAATGTCTTTGATGAACACTGTGCAAACATCCTCAATAAAATACTGGCAAACCAAACCCAGCAGCACATTAAAAAGTGCATCCACCACAATGGAATTGGCTTTGTCCCCAGGATGCAAGGTTGATTCAACATATGCAAATCAACAAATGTGACTCATCACATAAAGAAAACTAAATAAAAAAACCACATGATTACCTCAATAGATGCAGAAAAAGCACCCAATAAAATTCAACATTCCTTCACGTTTAAAATTCTCAATAAACTAGGAACTGAAGAAACATACCTCAAAATAAGAAGAGCCATATACAACAAACCCACAGCCAATATCATACTGAATGTGCAAAAGCTGGAAACATTCCCCCTGAAAACCGGCACAAGAAAAGTATGCTCTCTCTCACCACTCGCATTACAACTCCCATTCGGAAAACTTGTCCAGGAAAATCAGGCCAGAGGAAGAAATAAACAGTATTCAAATAGAAAGAGAGAAAGTCAAATTATCTTTGTTTACAGATGACCTGACCCTATATCTAGAAAGCCTCTTCGTCTCAGCCCCAAAGCTTCTTAAGGTGATAAGCAGCAGTAGCAAAATCTCAGGATATAAAATCATTCTGCAAAAGTAGCTAGCATTCCCATACACAAGCAACAGGCAAGCAGGGAGACAAATCATGAATGAACTTTCATTCACATTTGCTATAAAGAGAAAAAAATACCAAGGAATACAGCTAAGAAGGAAAGTGAAGGATATCTTCAAGGAGAACTACAAACAACTACTCAGAGGAATCAGAGTGGACACAAAACAAATGGAGAAACATTCCATGCTCACGGAGAGAAAGAATCAGTACCACGAATATGAGCATATTGCCCTAAGTAATTTATAGATTCAATGCTGTTCCCATTGAACTACTGACATTCTTCAGATAATTAGAAAAAAAAAACTTTTTAAAATTAAAATGGAACCAAAATCTTTTTTGGTTGGCCCAAATAGCCAAGCCAACCTTAAGAAAAAAAAAAAAAAAAAGCTGAAAGGGTCATTGCCTAACTTCAAACTGTACTAGAAGAGTACAGTAACAAAAACAGCATGGTACTGGTATAGAAACAGACACATAGACAAATGAAACAAAATAGAGAGCATAGAAATAAAGCCAAAAACCTACAACAAACTGATCTTTGACAAAGTCAACAAAAACAAGGAATTAGGGAAAAGTCTCCCTATTCAATAAATAGTGCTAGGATAACTGGCTAGTCATGTGCAGAGAATTAAGACTGGAACCCTTCCTAACACCATAGACAAAAATTGACTCAAGATGGATTAAAGACTTGAATGTAAAACCCAAAACTATAAAAACCTTAGAAGAAAAAATCTAGAAAATACCATTCAGGATATAGTCATGAGGAAAGATTTGATGACAAAAAGACCAAAAGAAATAGCAACAAAAGCAAAAATTGACTAATGGGGTCTAATTAAACTAAAGAGATTCCACAGAGCCAAAGAAGCTATCATCAGAGCAGAGAAGCTAGAGAATGGGAGAAAAATTTTGCAACCTATTCATCTGACAAATATCTAATACCCAGAATCTATGAGGGACTTAAAATTTACAAGAGAAAAACAAACAACCCCATTAAAAAGTGGTCAAAGGACATGAACAGACATATCTCAAAAGAAGACATACATGTGCCCAACAAACATGGAAAGCTCAACATCACTGATAACTGGATAAATACACATCAAAACAACAATGAGATACCATCTCACACCAATTACAATGTCTATTAATAAAAAGTAAAAAAGAAATAAAAACAGATGCTGGTGAGGTTGTGGAGAAAAGGGAACACTTTTACACTGTTGGTGGGATTGTAAATTATTTCAAGCATTGTGGAAGAGAGTGTGGAGATTCCTCAAAGACCTAGAAGCAGAAATACCATTTGACCCAGCAATACTATTACTGGGCATACACCCAAAGGAATATAAATCTATTTTAAATAAACATGTATACATATGTTCATTGCAGCAATATTTACAATAGCAACGTCATGTAATCAATCTACATGCCCATCAATGATATACTGGATAAAGAAAATGTGGTACACATACACCATGGAACACTATGAAGCCATAAAATGTAATGAGATGATGTCCTTTGCAGGGACATGGTTGGAATTTGAAGCCATTACTCCCAGCAAACTAATGCAGGAACAGAAAACCAAACACCACCTATTATTATTCTAACTTATTAGCAGAAGCAGATCAATGAGAACACATGGACACATCAGGAAGAACAACACACACTGGACACCTGTTTCATGGCATGGGGGAGGGGAAGGAGAGCAGCAGGAAGAATAGCTGCGGATGCTGGGCTTAGTACCTGGGTGATGAGATGATCTGTGCAGTAAAGCACAATGGCACACGTTTATCTATGTAAGAGACCTGCATATCCTGCACATGGACCCCTAAACTTAAAATAAAAGTTGAAAAAAAAGCTTATCACATATGGACCACTGAACTTAAAATAAAACTTGAAAAAACATGAGTATGAGGTGGATTCCCTAGGTTAGACCCAAACTGAGGATCCTGAAGCTCCTGCTGGGGGATTTGGGGCTGGGGGCACCCTGGGGAGCTGCTGCCAAGGCCATCCACCGTCCCTACAGACCGCCTCCCTTCCCGGCCTGTGATGGAAAGGAGAAGGGGTATGTGAACAGCTGTGGAAGTCAGACTCTCGGGAACTGAATCAGGCCCCAGCCCATGCCCCCCAGCCCAGTCCAGCCAACGTGCCCGCTGTCTTCCCACCCAGCCAGCCGAGCCCTCAGGATTGTTAGATGGAACCAGGCTCCATCACCACCCAGGCATGGAGGGAAGATGCCCTGGTCCTTAGCAAGCAAGGCCTGGTTTCCAAAGTGCTCTCCGAAGAGGCCTCATGTTTGTGACATCTTAGAAGGTACCTTTCTGCTGTTCTTGCACCCAGCATGTTGGCAAGTCAAGTTCCCCCACTGAGTTCTCCACACATAAGGAGGGAGTCAACACCATTGCTAAGTCGGATCAGCTCAAGGGTCTCCAGTATCAGTTTTATCAGATCCCAGGGACCTGCCTGCTCCCAGAGGTGACAGAGAAAAATCAAGGAACGATCTGTATGGTCACTGACATGGATGAAACCCTTGTGCATAGCTCCATTAAGCCAATCAGCAATGCTGACTGCCTAGTGACTGTAAAGATTGAGGGGACCATGAGGCCTTATATGGATGAGTTCCTGAGATGACTGGAGGAATTGTTTAAATGTGTTTTCTTCATTGCTCTCTTCATTCCAGACTGAACAAGTATGCAGATCCTGTTGAGAGGTGACAGCGTGCTGGCAGTCCTCACAACCCTTGCTCACTCTCCGGGCCTCCTCTGCCTGGGCTCCAACTTTGGCGGCACTTTAGGAGCCCTTCAGCCTGTCGCTGCACTGTGGGAGCCCCTTTCTGGGCTGGCCAAGGTCGGAGCCGGCTCCCTCAGCTTGCGACGAGGTGTGGAGGGAGAGGTGCGTGTGGGAACCAGGGCGGCGTGCAGTGCTTGAAGGCCAGCGCGAGCTCGGCGGACCCCACACTCGGAGCCGCCGGCTGGCCCCACCGGCCCCAGGCAGTGAGGGGCTTAACACCTCGGCCAGCAGCTGCTGTGCTCAATTTCTCGCTGGGCCTTAGCTGCCATCCCACAGGGCGGTGCTTGGGTCCTGCAGCCCGCCATGCCTGAGCCTCCCCCCCATCGGTGGGCTCCTGTGTGCCCAAGCCTCCTGGATGAGTGCCACCCCCTGCTCCACAGCACCCAGTCCCATCAACCACTCAAGGGCTGAGAAGTGCGGGTGCACAGTGCCAGACTGGCAGGCAGCTACACCTGCAGACCCTGTGGGGGATCCACTGGGTGAAGCCAGCTGGGCTCCTGAGTCTGGTAGGGACGTGGAGAAACTTTGTGTCTAGCTCAGGGATTGTAAATACACCAATCGGCACTCTGTATCTAGCTCAAGGTTTGTAAACATGCCAACCAGCACCCTGTGTCTAGCTCAGGGTTTGTGAATGCACCAATCAACACTCTGTATCTAGCTACACTGGTGGGGATGTGGAGAACCTTTGTGTCTAGCTCAGGGATTGTAAACACACCAATCAGCGCCCTGTGAAAAAAGACCACTCGGCTCTAACAATCAGCAAGATGTGGGTGGGGCCAGATAAGGGAATAAAAGTAGGCTGCCCCAGCCAGCAGTGGCAACCCACTCGGGTCCCCTTCCACACTGTGGAAGCTTTGTTCTTTTGCTCTTTGCAATAAATATTGCTGCTGCTCACTCTTTGGGTCCACAATGCCTTTATGAGCTGTAACACTCACTGTGAAGGTCCACAACTTCACTCCTGAAGCCAGCGAGACCACGAACCCACCTGGAGGAATGAACAACTCCAGATGTGCCACCTTAAGAGCTGTAACACTCACCGCGAACGTCTGCAGCTTCACTCCTGAGCCAGCGAGACCACGAGCCCACCAGAGGGAAGAAACTCTCAACACATCCGAATGTCAGAAGGAACAAACTCCAGACATGCCACCTTTAAGAACTGTAACACTCACCGTGAGGGTCTGTGGCTTCATTCTTGAAGTCAGTGAGAACAAGAACCCACCAATTCCAGACACATTGTGATGGGTGTGCTGGACCAGTGTGAGGTGTTCTGGGGTTGCCTAGCCCATGAGTCACGTTTGTTCCACCAGGGCTGCTATGTCAATGACCTCAGCCATCTGGGGAGGGACCTGAGGAAAACTCTCATCCTGGACAACTCGCCTGCTTCTTATGTCTTCCACACAGAGAATGCAGTGCCTGTGCAGTCCTGGTTTGATAACATTCCAGACAGCAGCTGCTGCACCTGATATCAGTCTTTGAGGACATGAGTGGAGCAGAGGGCATCTATACTAGCCTTGGGCAGCAGTGGGCCCTTAGCCTTTCCTGCTTCCCAGCAATGGCCATCACAGTAGGGGATTTTCCCACACTGTGCCTTTATGATCAGCCTGAAAGAATGAAGCCTGGAACACCTACCCACATGGGCCTGGAAACAGTGAGAAGTGATTGAAAAGAGCTTTAGGACAGCTTAGATTCCCAGTGGGTGAATGCCAGACCAAGGATACCCAGAGCTACCTGCCATCAAGTTTTTGGGTTCCCAAGATGTGGGTGTGAGAGAAAGAAAGAGAGCATGTGTGTTTTGTGATGAACTGTGGGCCCAATATATAGTGTTTCAGTAGGGGAGAAGCTGAAGGACAGAGACTCTTCCCAAGTTAGCTTTGTCTCCTCTCCTGTCACCCTATGAGACCCTGAGTTCCATAGGGATGAAGACTGTTGAAGGCTCCATTGCAAACCTGGTCTTTCTTCAGTGCTGCAAGGCCTATGCCAAGGAGAAAGGAAAAGTATGTCTTTGGGTGTTCCAGACACATATCTTTCTGAAATATTTCTCCAGCCAGTTGTTGCAGACAAAAGATGATATTTCTGGGAAGATGGGGACTTATGTCCAGACCAGTACCCAAACCATCAGGTCTTGTGGCCTAAAGGCTATGCTTACTTAAGTCCAGCCAAGTGCCTGGGATGGATCCTTTCTGCATCTCCTCAAGACTCACCACTTAGGCATAGCCTCAAACCTGTGGGGAAGGAAGTTGTCTCCCCACCCTGCAAGAGGACAAATAACTGATTTCTCTTCTTTCGACTCTGTTTTAAAATTCTCTTAAAAAAAAAAAAAAGCCTATCTGAAACTGAAAAGAAAAAAACAAAAAAACAAGGAAAAAGATGTCATACTTACATAAGTGAAAAACATACAGATATATCTATAAGCAACAAACACAGCTAATTCACACATATATTAAACATCACATTGAGATAAAGTGTACCGAGCTAAAAATTATCTTTCAACTGATGATATCAAGCTTTAAAATAAAAATACATTTAACTGATCTGAGAAAACATAACTCCCAAGAAAAGAAACACAATAACACGGACTTGAAAATAAGAAGAGAGATTTTCGTGCATAAAATCCTGAATACAACATAGATTTACAATGGAAAATAACCGTTTTTTTTTTTTTATTTTTTTTTGAGACAGAGTCTTGCCCTGTTGCCCAGGCTGGAGTGCAGTGGCGCGATCTCGGCTCACTGCAAACTCTGTCCACTGAGTTCACGCCATTCTCCTGCCTCAGCCTCCTGAGTAGCTGGGGATACAGGCGCCTGCCACTATGCCCGGCTAATTTTTTGTATATTTAGTAGAGACGGGGTTTCACCATGTTAGTCAGGGTTGTCTCGATCTCCTGACCTCGTGATCCACCCGCCTTGGCCTCCCAAGGTGCTGGGAATACAGGCATGAGACACCACAACCGGCCGAAAAATAATTCTTTAGATATCTACAGCATTCAACTGTGTGCACTCATGAAAAGCAGACAATTTAAGTCATTAGAATTTAATAAATTGCAGTAAAATTATACAGAAAATACATTACAATCATTAATAACAGGCTCTAATGAGAGGAATTTAATAAATAATCATTAAAAATACAGGATAATTTTATTATGTTCTCAATATGTTGCTGCACTTCTTACCACAAAACATAATAAAATTATATGACTATAATATAGATTTCAGGAGCTAAAAAAGCCTTATATTTCCAAATAAAAGAACAACATAAATTTTGCAAAATATGACGAGCATTACTGCAGTATAAAGTAAATATCTGGAATTAAAATATGCCATCATTTAGATACAGACTAAAAAAAAGAATATAAATGTTAATGATTCCTTTCTGCCTGCAGTGAGCTTAAAATTACAACCAAAAATTTTAATAAATATGTAGCACCTACAAGACATTTTATTAATAGCTTACATAATGTGGAAATTTGAGCAATTTATTTTAGAATTTTTGAATCTAAAAATCACCAGCTTGACATTCATTTGAGAAAGTGAAACATAAAGGAGAGTAACATAAGCAAGATGACAGAATGGGAGGTTCGGCATGCACATCCCCCACAACATAATGCAGCTGCCACGGGAAACATAAGTGCATTCATGAAAGCCTTAGAATCCAGTTCAGAGTTTGTGACACCCAGCTGGAGGCAAAGACCAAGGAAGACATCTTTAGAGGGTAAGCACTTGACCAAGTGGCAAGCTTGCCAATCATGGTCCCGGCTTCAAAACAGAATACTACCACATCTTACTGTAAACTTGGCTATGACTCATTTGAACTTGGTCCTGCCACTGCAAAAATCTGTGAAAAACACAAAAGAATTCATACTCATCTGAGACTTAGGTGACAGGCCTGCAGAACTTGGTTCTCTCTATAGTCCCTGAATCAGGCAAAACACACCTTCTTTCCTTCTCCAGCCATGGTCTGGAAGAAATCTTCACATTGATATGATGAAATGCTAACTAACAATATGAAAAATACTAAAGTATAAATGTCACTAAAAATGGTAAATACATACTGAAATTCAGAATACTCTAAATTGTTATCATCTTAAACTAGACTATTAAAATACAAGAGGTTTTACATAAGTCTCATGATAACCACTGGGGGAAAAAAAAACATAGTAAAGAAAAAGAGAAAGTAATTAAAGCATACACAAACAACAAAAATTACACATTGGATACAGTGGCTCCTGCTTATAATTCCAACACTTTTGGAGGCCAAGGTGGAAGAATCATAAGCTCCTTGGGTGTTGTGGTACGTGTCCAAGTAGTCCAAGCTACTTGGGTGGCTAAGGGGGGAGGATTGCTTGAGCCCAGGAGATTGAGGCTACAGTGAGCTGTGATATGCCACTGAACTTCAGTCTGAGCAAGAAAGCATAACTTTGTCTCAACAAAAATGAACAATACCACAGGAAAGACAGAACCAGAAAAAAAAGAAGCAAACTTAAAATGGACAGAAAACTACAAATGTACAATAGTAACTGCTTACTTATCACTACCTTACAAATAAAAAGATTAAAGTATCTACTAAACAGATACTTCTGTAGACTGAATGTCATCTCCAAAATTTAGGATAAAATGGCCAATGTGAAAGAATTAAGAGGTGGAACCTTTAAAAATTAATTAAGCTATAAGCACTCTGCCCTCATGAATGGATTAATGTTCTTATTATGGGAATGGGCTAATTTTAACAAGAATGGATCTGTTATATATTAAAAAAAAAAAGCTGTCTCTCCCTCACATCTTTGGCCATGTTATTATCCAGCAACTAGACCTTCAACAGATACCAGTAACATGTTCTTTTACCTTCCCAGCCTCCAGAATCATGAGTCAAATAAAATTCTGTTCTTTATTAATTACCAGTCTGTGATATTCTGTTATAACAGCCAAAAGAGACTAAAGCAGACAGAGTGGATAAATGAAACTTTTAAACCTCGTAATATGCTGCTTACAAGAGACTCAATTATGAATTAAGAGCATAGGCTAAAAGTGAAAGGATAGAAAATGATATTCCATGCAAATAATAGCCAAAGGAGTTCAATGGTAGTTATGCTTAAATTAGACAAAATAGACTTTCTAGCAATGTCTCTCACAAGCATGAAATGAGTTTACCATACAATAATAATAGAGGTTAATTTGTCAAGTGAATATAGCTATATATATTTATGCACCCAAAAGGGAGGCTTCTAAATATAAAAAGCAAATATGGGCAGAACTGTAGGGAGAAGTAGAAAGAAATCCAATAATAGAAAACTTTAATGAAATGTATAATAAAGGACAAATAGTTAACAGCATTGTGAATTTGCAAGGGAAAGCTGTTCTCCTGTGTTGCATTTGAGAATGCAGCAAAGAAAGTGGGAACTGATAATTTTACCACAAGCCTGAGTTAGGCTGAAAAACAGGGTGGTCGATTAGAGGTTCCACTTGCCATATATTAAAAAAACACAGGAGAAAACCAGTCCTCCTCTGGAGTGTTAAAATAATTAAAGAGCAGAAAATTAGACTAAAGTGGCTCTAGTGTCCTGGGTTCATAGGTTAAAAAAAAAAAAACAAAAACTAAAACCTAACTCAAATACATTTCCTATAAAGCATTATCTTAGCCTGAAACAAAATGCACGTTTAACCAATGGCAAACATGCAATTAACCTCTGAATATGTAACCAGGACATTTCCATCTGGATAGTTCAAATAAGGTGACTACATAACTGGAACCAATTTTTGAATTTGGGCTGCTTTCTCATGCATCTTATGAAAGCCTTTCCTTTATGCCCCTCTGGTGGACCAGAAATCATGGCTGGGTGCTTTCCATTTCACCAATCACTGTTTGTTCAGATAAACTGGTTAACGTTTTAACATAGACTCCCGTTAATTTTTAACAAGAGAGACTGGGGACCCCACGGGCCGCAGCTCCTCCCACGCAAACACCCAGTGGCAGTTTTTCCCTGATGACCCACCAGGCCTCCCTGAACAATCTGGGAAATACTCATGGCTGTGGGCGCAGAGCAGGGCGCTGCCCAGGGACAGCACCGGATGGGCCAGGCCGGATGTGGGGGTCCTCGATGCTGGCCCAGCGGCCATCTTGCAGCCACAGGGGACTGAGGGCCAAGCTGCGGGAGACTCGGAGCTAACCGTGGGGGCCGGTCCTGCCGGTTTCACAGCCTGCTCTCCCCTCTCGGGATGCCGAACCCCGTATACTCACCATTTCCCAGCTTCCAGGATGTCCTGTCATCTTAACTGTGCGTCCCCAAGGACCTACAGATCACAGGGCAACAGGGGCTGTGAAAGAGTAGCCCGGGGCTCCCAAAGCGGAGGAGGCGAAAGAGGAGACGGATCCCAAGTTCCTGTGCCAGCGCCAGCGAGAGACAAAGACCCGCCAAACGCCAGAAGCCACGCCCTCCTCTCCTGTCCTCTCCAACTGCGCGCCTGATTGGGCTGTTCCCACATCAGTGTCAATGACTGGATAAAACTCCAGGACTCACCCACCCCCGCCTGACTCCTGCCCCTACCCCCACTCCCCCTCAGCCTTAGTGCATTTTTGTTAGTTTGTTTTACTTTAAGTTCTGGAATACATGTGCAGAACGTGCAGGTTTGTTACATAGGTTTACATGTGCCATGGTGGTTTGCTGCTTCTATCAACCTGACGTCTAGGATTTAAGCCCCATATGCATTAGGTATTTGTCCTAATTTTCTCCCTCCCCTTGACCTCAACATCCTAACAGGCCCCAGTGTGTGATGTTTTGTTCCCGGTGTCCATGTGTTCTCATTGTTCAACTCCCACATATGAGTGAGAACATACGGTGTTCTGTTTCCTGTTCCCGTGTTAGTTTGCTGAAGAGAATGGTTTCCAGTGTCATTCACGTCCCTGCAAAGGACATGAACTCATTCTTTTTATGGCTGAATATTATTTCATGGTGTATATGTGCCACATTTTCTTTTTCCAGTCTATCAATGATGGGCATTAGGTTGGTTCCAAGTCTTTGTTATTGTAAACAGTGCTGCAATAGATATATGAGTGCATGTGTCTTTATGCTAGAATGATTTATATTCCTTTGGGTATATAACCAGTAATGAGATTGCTGGGTCAAATGGTATTTCTGGTTCTAGATACTTAGGGAATCACCACACTGTCTTCCATAATGGTTGAAGTAATTTACACTCCCGCCCCCAGCAGTGTAAAAGCGTTTCTATTTCTCCATAGCCTCATCAGCATCTGTTGTTCCTGACATTTTAATAACTGCCATTCCAAATGGTGTGAGATGGTATCCCATTGTGGTTTTGATTTGCATTTCTCTAATCATCAGTGATGATGAGCTTTTTTCTTTTTCCTTTTTGTGTGTTTGTTGACCACATAAATGTCTTCTTCTTCTTCTTCTTCTTCTTCTTCTTCTTCTTCTTCTTCTTCTTCTTCTTCCTCTTCTTCTTCTCCTTCTTCCTTTTCTTTTTATTTATTTTATTTATTATTATTTTAAAGACGGAGTCTAGCTCTGTCACCCAGGCTGGAGTGCAGTGGCAGGATCTCAGCTCACTGCAACATCTGCCACCCAGGTTCAAGTGATTCTCCTGCCTTATCCTCCCAAGAAGCTGGAATCACAGCCACCCGCCAAAACACCATGCTAATTTTTTGTGTTTTTAGTAGAGACATGGTTTCACCATGTTGCCCAGGCTAGTCTTGAACACCTGACCTCATGATCCACCTGCCTCCATGGCTGAAAGTGCTGGGATTACAGGCTTGATCAACCACGCCCAGCCAAATGTCTTCTTTTGAGAATAGTCTGTTCATATTCTTTACTCACTTTTTGATGTTTTTTTTGTGTGTGTGTGTGAAATTAAGTTCCTTGTAGATTCTGGATATTAGACCTCTGACACATGGATAGATTGCAAAAATTTTCTGTCATTCTGTAGGTTGCCTGGTCACTCTGATGATAGATTCTTTTGCTGTGCAGAAGCTCGTTAGTTTAATTAGATCTCATTTGTCAATTTTAGCTTTTGTTGTGATTGCTTTTGGTATTTTATTCCTGAAGTCTTTGCTCATGCCTATGTCCTGAATGGTATTGCCTAGGTTTTCTTCTAGGGTTTTTGTGGTTTGGTGTTTTATATTTAAGACTTTAATCCATCTTGAGATAATGTTTGTATAAGGTGTAAAGAAGGGGTCCAGTTTCTGTTTTCTGAATGTGGCTAGCCAGTTCTTTCAGCACCATTTGGTAAGTAGTAAATCTTTCTCCATTGCTTGTTTTTGTCAGGTTTGTTAGAGATCAGATGGTTGTAGATGTGTGATGTTATTTCTGAGGCCTCTGTTCTGTTCCATTGGTCTATATATCTGTTTTGGTATTAGTACTGTGCTGTTTTGGTTACTGCAGCCTTGTAGTATAGTTTGAAGTCGGGTAGCAAGATGCCCCAAGCTTTGGTGTTTTTGCTTAGGATTGTTTTGGGTTGACAGGCACACAGGCTCGTATAGTTGGGGTCACCTGCCCAGAGTATCACAGCTAATTAAGAAGTGAGCTGAGACTTGAAATGCACATGCTCCTTCCCTTACCTGGGTCTGTTGTATAATGCATCTTAGCAGCTATTTAACAGTAGGAATTAGAACATTTGGACATCTTTTTAACAACTTTTTAACCTGCATTTTGATAATGCAGGAAAGACCTTCATCCCGTCCCTGAGCCCCTCTCTCACCACGCTACATCCCACTGCTGACCACATTGTAGGGTAGCCATTAGGAATCAGGCGGGCAGTGGGGGCTGGGAATAAATAAGCAAGGATTATGCTGCCCAAATTTGCTCATCTTAGAAAGTCTCCTCAACCATTCTGTGTGAAGTGATTATTCCAGGGTAATTGTGGCCTGACTGCGCTGGATGTCAGTGTGACTTGTCTTTTTGAAAATCACTGGATTACTCTCATGAACGGGGGTATTTCTCTTTCTATTTGAAAACGGCCAACTGTCCTCTGCAGGTGTCCTGATTTGCTAGTTTAGACCCTGAAGGTAGCGGTGAGAAAATATTTGGGCCACAACAGAATACCTATTCTCAGCTGGAAGATATATAGAAATTTCTTAATAATATCTAACCATTTTCTCAATAACCATTATATTTAACATTGATAGCTTGGAGGGCAGGGAAGGACACAGATGACACAATCTTCAAAGTTTATTTATAAGTTTTTTTTTTTTGTTCTTGTTTAGTTTTGCTTAGTTTTTGGATACAAGGTCTTGTTCTGGTGCCCAGGGTGGAGGGCAGTGGCATAATGATAACTCATAATTTGGTTGTAACGGTTCTTTAAAATATATTTTTGCTGAGAGTGCTAGCTCACACCTGTAATCTAAACACTTTGGGTGGTCAAGGTGGGATTATCGCTTGATCCCAGGAGTGCAAGACGAGTCTGAGCAACATAAGTAGGCTCAGTCTCTAGAAAAATATTTAAAAATTGTCTGGGTGTAGCTTTGCATGCCTGTAGTCCCAGCTACTTGAGAGGCTGATTTGAAAGCATCACTGGAGCCTAAGAATTTGAAGATGCAGTGACCCATGATTCAGCCACTGCATTGACAGAGTGAGATATGTGTGTGTGTGTCTGTGTGTGTGTATAAAGAATTTGTATGTGAAAAAAATTCAAGCACAGGATAAAAGTGAAAGCCCACGGTGGGGGATGTGGAGAAAGGTCACTGTGGCTCCAGCAACTCAGTGAGACTTGGTTTTCCATCTTGAAGAATTGCCCATCCACACTGACACCATAGCCTAACATATGCCAGTTCTCACACTACACCTGCTGGGATACCAGTATGTAGCCTTTTGAAAAAAATAAAATCTTTCACCTAAGAGAAGGACAAGAGAAAACGAGGGTTTCACATCTAAAGCCTTCATTTTCTTTATGAATCAACAGCCACTTGTCATTTGAATTGTCCAGAGGCGACTGACAGCACCAATACACTTAATGAATCAACCAGGAAAAATGGGCCTCTCAGGTGAGGAGGAGGCACAATGGTCACAAAACCCAATCCGTTCTCAGCTTTGCATGGTGCTCGCATCTCAAGAAGTGGTGTTAGCCATGTGAACCGTGTTCACTGGACAAGGCCAGAGGAAAGAATATTTAGTACAACACAACTATGGGGCTGCAAATCAAACTGGTAGTGAGAGCATGCATGAGGCTTCAGTGGCCGAGACACTGGTGGCTACCCTTCGGTGTCACTTAAACCTTTGAGGTGAAGGACATCTTTTTTCCCAACTGGCTCAGAGAAACCAATCAACATTAAAATTGAGATTTGTTTTTCTTTTCAAAATTTCTAAGACACAGAGGACTCTAACACTCCAAAAGACATTCAGATATTCTTGCAGCTGAGGACTTGACTGCTCTGTAGAGGGATGGCAGAGCAGCAGCCACCAGCTTTAAGAGCTTTAAGCTCCTCCTCTTATAGGGAAAGGCCACCCCCACACAACCCCCATAACTTCATAGGCTCTGGCTGTTAGGTGCACCTGGGGGACTGTCTTCCTCCCATCTCATTAGCTCTCCAAGACAGTTCAGCTCAATCTAAAACCTACCCTAAGATGGCGGTATGTAGACTCTCCTCCATTCTCCCAGCGCAGTGTGACTTCTGGAGAGTGCTCCCCCATCGTCTTACCTCAAATGATGTGAAAAGAGCTGGTTCCCGGGTAGTTAGATGTTCAGTGACCTAACAGGCCCAGCATGCGCAGGGCCTGGCCCCACAGCCTGGCACCTCTCTCCTACCTGGCCTTCACTTCGGCCTTTTCTCTTCTGTCACCAATGTCAGGTGATGGTCACCAGTGCCACACTCTCATGAGCTTGGTAAGTAGCAGGGGTGTAAACCCCAACAGATTTCCTGTGACTCTACCCTCTTACCTCCCACTCAAGTGACATTATAAGCATAATTTTATATTTGATCTAATTTATGCATAACCTTTTTATAACATTTCTGACAACAGCCCACACAACCACATGAGTCTGGGTTACAGAACACACGGGCGAGGCTCGGGTAGCAGGTTTCACTTACTTTATTCCAATGTGAAATGAAGATTGATGATTTAAAAACAAGACAAAGTTGTTTATCAGCTGTGGGGTGGCTACACTTGCTATCTCATGCTCACTTCCTTTGAAACAAGGTATCTGGACAGACCATATTCATAAGTAAGACTTCGCAAAACCTCAGACAGAAGTTCCAGTCAGACACAGCTCCCTCAGGCTCACAGGGTGGCAACCGCCTCCATGTTAGGCTCTGACAGCAGGCAAGGAAAGGAGCACAGGCAGCAGGGGACAGGGAGGGTCCGGGACTGTAGGGATCCCCAAATGCCCCAGAGCTATTCTCTGTAGAAGGGCACACGCAGGTCTCACTGTGTCAGTGCAGTGGCTGAATCATGGGTCACTGCAGCCTCAATCTCTTAGGCTCCAGTGATGCTTTCACCTCAGCCTCTCAAGTAGCTGTATGGCAAAAAGCCTCCTACTTTTTACTTAAAACCTGGACTTTAAGCCAGGTTGGGCCTGGGAATAGTGGCAGCAAAAGCAGCAGCCAAATGTATACACTTCAGATGTCTACACTCATGGGCACAGGCATATTCCACACTTGCTGGAACACGAGATGCCTGAGAGGCACCTGTTTCCCAGCTACTAACTGATGTCCACACACCCCATTCACGTGTCTTCATTTAGGTTTCTGCATCGTATATTTGCTCAGCCAGTGCAAACACATCTTCTAGGGGGCAACATTAATTGCAGCACCTGCCCCACTTGTTCTGGGAGGGAGTCAAGAGGAATCTGGTCAGCTCCTAATCCCCCAGGACAAAGGTGATGCCCTCTTTTCAGGACTTACATCCAGCAGCGTCATCTCGGGATGGGTTTTTCAAACACAAGCAGCATGAGGTAGCAAGCATGGTGTGACAGGCTCAGGGCCATGGGCAGCCGGCTTCTGGAGAAGCAGCACAGGGCAGGCACATCTGTGGGTGGCACCATGACAAGCCAAGACAGCCTCAGCCCGTAATCCCAACAGCTCCAGCCCAGATGGCATTCAAATTTTCCCGGATAGTATTGGGGTGCCCGATGCCCATCACTCGCCCTCTCATTAGCACGGCCTTGTTGGTTACTCAGGGACTAAGGAGAGAGAGTGGGGGATGTAGATCCAGGGTGGGCACTGCCTCACAGCCAGAGTCCACCTGACTGCAGGCCAGCAAGCAAGCCCAAGCAGCTCAGCTCTAGTCACCTCTGGCTGTACTTTTTATGTGTAATTTACACAAAGGCAGCAAAAGGAGGTCAACATTAGCTGTTGTGACATGAAAGTCTATGCCCCATTAAGACCTTAAAATGCTATTGTCTTAAGCTCTCTTTACTCTAATAAAATTTATACAAATAAACACATACAAGGTGAACTACTATAAAGGAAATATTAGGATTTTTTAAACCCATAAACAGACATGTAAACAGTCACTGTTTGATTGCAGAGAAAGTGAGCTTCTAAAGCAGCTGACCACAAAACAGCCTCACCAAACCCCAGGCAGGCCAGGCAGTCTGAACACTACAAGGCCACGTGATGGTCACAGAGGATGACAGCTCCCGTGAGTATTGCAAGGCACTGTGTTAGCTTCTCACTCACAGTCTCAGAATACCCTGTGAGGGGAGGCCCCGTCTCACTAGAGCACAGGAGGTTCCTGAGCTCTTCCCAGAAAATGGTCATCAAACGATGGAGCAGGGGGAAGCCCAGACAGAACAAGTGAGTCCCTAGGGTCTCCTTAACCTCCCTCAGCTCCTCCACATGGGTTCCTGAGGGAAAGTGAGCAGTCTCCTAACCCCTTTGTTAGGGTTCCAGTCCTGCAGGTCTGGACTCTCTCATTTTATGCTACCATAGGGGATGACAATGCAACCCCAGGCTCCTTTTTTGCCATCCCTCAATGCCAGGCCAGGCCCAGAGCCGTTTGCTGACACAGCCCAGGGGATGCTCAAGGCCCACCTCGGCACAGTCACCTGTAGTGTACTGAGATGAGCAAGGAGGTGCAAGTAGACACAAATCCCCATGGGCTTGGCCTCAGCTATGTTCCACAGGCTCAGGGCCTCGCAGAAGAGCTCACAGCCCTCCTTCAGGAAGCCTGCAGATCACACCCTCAGGGAGCAGTGCTCAGATGAGCAGGCAGGCCCCACATCCCCCACCCCATGACGCTCTGTTCCACTTTGCAGGCTTCTGCATTGGCCAGTCCCCACTGCTTTCTGGTGAGATGTCCGAGTTGAAGTGAGTGTTGAATGCCACACAGCTGATGGAGCTCACTGCCTTGCACATGTTGTAAAACACCTCCTGGTTACAAGGGTCAGCTGTGGAGACACAGCTTGATGGGAGGTAGGCCCACTCCACCATCAGTAGTGCTGGGTTGCCCTGATCTGCACCTTCCAGATACTTGCTGAGATATCTGCATGCTTCTCTAAGGGACTGGGTCACGAGACACCCCTGGCAAGGACCAGCTGGCAGAACAGGCTGGACACTCTCCTTCAGCCTCCCCAGCAGCCCTACCTGTGCTGTCATCTGTGCTGATGATCTCCGTGGTAAGATTATGGGAAACTTTTACAGCAAGTTTTCCTTTCTCACTTCCCTATCTTAATAACAGCACTGATAACTTTTAAGCCCTAGAAAGCTGGAACTGCAAGACACATGATCTTCTGCCTTAGAAGGTCCATGTTTGGGCAGTGTGTGCCCAGGTGAGAGCCCCATGGTTGTTAGTGGAAGCCGGGAGCTGGATGGGCCTGGCCCCATAGCCTAGTGAAAAGTGGGACCCTCTCCTTCCAGAGCATGGAAGTCTCAGAGGCTGGAAAAAGGTGCCTGAGTGGCCTGCCAAAAAGCATAAGGCTAGAAGGGCTGGAAGGAACCCCAACAGTCTTCAAGGTGCCTGAGAGGGCTGGGCTCATTCCAGCTTTCTTTGCTTTCATCCTGATAGCAAGAAAACCTGCTCACACATGGCAGGCGGGCCTGAGGCTACCATTCCCTCATCAGGGGCTATAGGCACTTTAATGTGGCTCTTTCTTGAAGCAGCTGCTCAGGCCGGTTCTCGAAGAGAAGTTCCCTCATTATCCACAGGTTCTTGTTCCAGCCCCGTGTCTGCAGAGGGACTAGGGAGGGAGAAAATCTCTCAGCCTGTGCCCCACAACCTGCTCTGAGATATCTCTTTTGTTACTTCCTCACGGACAGCATCAAACTTCCAAATGAACAGACCAGCATGGAGCCTCCAGAAAAGTGCACAGAATTCTGTCTAGTACCCAGATGGAAGGGGGTTCCCAGTGAGGGCAGGGCCAGGCTGCATGCACCTCTTCAGGAATGTTCTCCTCATTGTCCAACTTCAAGGTGTGCATCCTCTGTGTGTATGCAGTCCATGGCAGGCTCTGCCTGGGGAACCGTCCAGCTGAACACCTGCAATGTGGTGGTGACCCTCTTGAATGAGTGGTTGTGGGCCCCATGGCAGTCATCAGAGAGGGAGATGCTTAGCCCACCAAGCCGAGAGCCCTGCCACAGCCTTCTGTGAGGCCTCCATCTGCTCTGGGTTCTTGCCCTGAAAGGCTGTCCTGAAGTCAAACAGAAGAAGGTGGGCCTCTCTTCCAGGGCTGCTCTTTATCCCACTGACAGCTCCCTAGAGGGCGACTAAGACAGCGGGGACAGATTCCTCAGGCAGAAGGACTGGAGTTTAGGCTGACGGGTTCATTCCATACCCCCACATGAGATGACACAAGGCAGGGGCTGTGGGACAAAGGCATTGCCTTTCCTTCTGGGATGAGGAATGGCATAGGAGACAGGGTATGGTGGGGCTGGGGTTGAGCGATGGGCTTCACTGAGTAAGTGTCCTGGTTATCTGTCCACAGACCCAGAACAAGTGGCATCCCAGGAGCCTGGGAGGGGCTGGCAGAGACTTACTGGTTCCAGCAAAAGCCCATGTGGATGCAGCAATGCTGCCTGCTGGTCCTTGGCTGTAATTACAAACAGGTACTTGAGGTCCCCATGCATCTTGCAGCTCTCAGAGAGTGTGTTCCAGCTGCTCATGGTAGGCACTTTTAGTCACTGAACGTGCTTCAGGAATGGCCAAGCTTGATTAAGCCAGGCGTCTTGCTGTGAGACCCTCCACCCAACTGAGGACCCTCTTCCTTGTTCCCCCTGGCAGTTTCACCTTCCAGTTCTGGTTCTAGAGACACGATGGCCCCTCTTGGGCCCCTGGGAGAATGTGCTCAGGTGACACACTGTCGACAGGGCCCATTTCCAAGCCATTCTTCCATTTCCCACTGTTTGAGGGGCTGAGGCCGGTGATCAGCACAGGGCCACCCAGGGCCAGCTGTCTGCACCTAAACATCATGCTGGTCTGGATGTCTCAGGGCCAGAACTCTCCAGGTGAGATGGCCTGGTCCTCAGCACCTGGCCTCCGTGCTCCTTTTTCCTCTGTTCAATCCTGGCCCCAATGCCTCCCGCAACTCTCAGGTCACCATTGGAGAAGATGCTCAGGAAGAACAAGAAGCTGCAGTCAACCCTGCTGAAGGTGGCATATGGGTCCAGGCTCTTGAGCTGGTCTTCGACATGGTACATGTGGATGCAGGCTTTGAGCAGTGTGAGTAGCTCTTTCCGGAAGGAGGGGAAAACGGTGTTTCCAGGGTCCTACACCCTAGAACGACCCATCTAGCACAGAAAACAGTTTGCAACGTGCTATCATGTGTGATTTTAATTTTCAACTTTAGGCTTTCATTTTCAATTTCCACAATAAACACATAAGGTGGGGTTCTGATTTCAACACACACACATTCTCTCTCTCTCCCTCTCTCTTAGAATCTTCCAGTGCGTTCACACTGAAAGCCAAAGTCCTCCCAGAATCTTGTGAGAACCTAAATGATCTGAATAGTTTGTCATTGATTTTGGGGATCTGGGAAAATCTCTGCACATTTCTGGAGACCGCTGTTATGCCAATTTTAATAAATCTGTTGTGCTTCAATTCAGAAGTGTGTGAAGGGAGTTGTGGAGGAATTGGCATTTGGGTTAGAAATTCCAGGAACACCAGAGACAGATGACACCTGTTTTCTGCTTCATAATGTCAAGTTTTACGATGGCTAAAACCTAATTCTACAAGAAAATTAGACTGAAAAACTTTATAGGCAAAAATTATCTTATTAAATAGGAAAATCTAAGTATTTTATTTTAAAATTTCCTTTTTCTTAGTAGGACCTAATCATAGAAATGTAAACTCTATATGCCAACAGCCTCTACTGTAGGATGGTTTATTGTATGTACTCATTTTACTGATTTCTTACAAAAACTTTTTCCGTAAGGGAAATTAGAATATTGTTCAACATATATTGAATTCACAATTATTACTTTATTTCTCACTTAGTATTTTATGATTCTGTCTTCTTTAATATGAAGATTACTATGACTGTGTTTTCACTTTCTGAATTATCATGTGTCACATTTGTCTGTAATTTCCTTTCAGAAGTTGTAAAATAGCATGCTCAAATGTATATATTATGTATAAATTATATAATTTATAATTTATTAAAATATTTGGCTTGTATGTTTAATTGACTCTAGGCACAATGTTACTATTAGCATCTTCTTCCAGTTTTCCCAACTTTTATTTGACTAATAGTACAATTTATTTCCAATTTTTATTTTATATGTCAATGTTTTATACTGTATTTACAATATTTATATTGTTACCATATTTAGAAATGTAAGACTTTTCAATTAAAAGCTAGATTACAGCCTTATCGTTTTGTGTAAGAAAAGCAGCAATGCATCAGTAGCATAATTTAAAACTTTCTCTAGTATTACTTAAATGCTTATTCCTTAAAACTTTCTCATCACAGCTCTTTGTATTAATTATAATGTGTTTTCTCTGAAATGTTGTTGCCCTAACTGTATCCAAATAATTCAAAATTCATACTTTTCATAGATTCACAGGAAGAGTTAAAAATTGTAGTTACCTGGGATTCTTTTTCATTTGGACACTATGTTTATTCAGGATTTTATGGATTAAAGTTTCTCTTAATTATGTTTTATAATTTTATGTTTCTGTATTTTTTAGAGTAGGCTGTCTCACATCAGTTAATTGTGTTTTTACTTTCTACCTATTTATTATGATTTTGAATTTCATTATTCAAATAAGAATTTGGGGGTTAATGTTTATTTTAACTTTGTTTTGCAATTTTACATTTCTGTGTTTCATGTTTTAGGGTAGGGCACCTTATATTAGTTTATTGTTTTAAGTTTTAATTTGTATAATATAATATTGTATAACAATATTCAACTCTGTATGCATTAAGACAGTGTGGGGCAGAAGTCAAATATGAACCATCCCTATGTCTTTTGTTAATACAATGATTTAACTGTTTGTTTGCCTGTATAAATATTGCCCCTATTTTGTTTATGACTTTTATATTTTCTTCTTATTTGATGGCCAATAATTTATTCTGTCTAAGTGAGTAATCATGGAAATTGTCTTAATTTCAACATCTATTGTTTATATTATCTTAGTGTGAAGGAAAGATTTATGTGATTTGAAGATAATTTTTCAGAAACTTTGTAACTCTGTCCCTTCGGGTGTCTTTTTTTTTTTTTTTTTTTTCTTTTGACAGACTCTCACCCTGTTGCCAAAGTGCAGTGGCACAATCTTGGATCACTGCAACCTCCACCTCCCAGGTTAAAGCAATTCTCCAGCTGCTGCCTCTTGAGTAGCTGGCATTAAAGTTGTGCACCACCGCGCCTGGCTAATTTTTGTATTTTTCATGAAGCTGGGGTTTCACCATGTTGGCCAGGCTGGTCTTGAACTTATGGCCTCAAGTAACCTGCATGCCTCAGCCTCCCAGAGTGCTGCGATTACAGGCATGAGTGATCACTCTTGGCCCTTGGGTGTCATTTTTAATTTCGATTGTGGTAAAAATACATAACATAAAATTTAGAATCTTTAATATTTTTTCTTATACAGTTCAGTCATGTTAAGTGTATTTACATTGTTAAGCAACATATTTGTAAAATTTTTTCTTTTGCAAAACTAAAACTCAGTACACATGAAATGACAACTACCCATTGTCCTTACCACCTGGCTCCTGATAAAAATCATTCTATTTTCTGGTTCTAAGTTTCAATACTTTAGATATTACATATAAGTAGAATCATAGAGTATCTGTTTTATTGTGACTAATTTTACTTAGCATTATGTTCTCAAGATTCCTCTTTATTGTGGATGGTACAAGATTTTCTGCCTTTAAAAGCTAAGTAATATTCCATTAGTTTTATATTACAAATTTTATTTATTTATTCATTCTATGAGGAAAATTTGTGTTGCTTTCACCTATTGGCATTTCTGAATAATGCTGCAATGAATATTGGTATGCAAATAGCTATTTGCTCATATGTGTGAGGTTTACATGTGTGCTACCTTCTGTTTTATTGGAAAAATTGTCTGTGTTTATGCCAGAAACAAACTGTTTTCATTGCTGTTGCTTTGTAATGTGCTTTGAAATCAGAAAAGGTGAGGTCACTAACATTGTTTTTTTTAAACATTTTGGGGCTCTTTATGGTCGCTTGACATTCCATATAATTTGTTGGTTCCTTTTTCTATTTCAAAAAAAAAGTTCTTAATTTAAAAGGGATTGCATTGAATCTGTAACTCGCTTTAGACATCATAAGCATTATTCATAATATTAAGTCTTACAACCCTTAAACATGAGCATGCTCAAAAGTGAGTTGTTTAATTTCCATATATATGTTGCTATTTTTGTTTTCTTCTGTTATTCATTTCTAGTTTTATTCCATTTTGATCAGAAATAATAGCCATTGAAAGGCTAAACCACTCTGGGAAGTGACCCCCATTATAGAACATTACAAAGAGATGTGAGGGCACCACTTCTGCCCTGATGGGCTACTGGGATGAGTTCTCTTAGATGACACATTGCAGACAAATGTAGGAAACAATATAACCCCTTTTTCATGTAAACTCTTCCCTATTTTTGTAGAGTATTAGTGATAGTGGTGGCTTTCAAGTCTTGGAGAAAGTCTGGCAGTACCATGAACCTGCTTGCTACAGATGATATCAGAGGGGAATAATTAAAACTATACAAACTGTAGTAACATGAATAAATGCAGCCTAGTGTAAAGTAAAAACAACACAAAGGCCTTCTCTGATATTTCTACAAGAATGTAAAAAGGGACTTTACACTTAACCAAGTTGCCACTGGGACCAGTTAAGGCTAGATTTTTGGGGGGTAGATCTGAGGGTCACTCATGGAAATCCCCTAGGAGAAAGCGCAGAGAAATTCCATATTTGGGTCTGGATCCTGGACCCATCCTGGTTTTGTCAGGTCCCTCTCTGTAGAGAACCCCATGTGCCTGCTCTCAACATAACTCATTGTATGCCATGCTTGGGGGGTGTGGTGAACCTGCCAGTTGTCCAAGGAGATGGGGGACTTGAACCCATCAAATATCTGCTCACTGATTTTAATGCAGCTCTACAAAGAGTGTTCCCAGCAGCGAAAAAAGTTAATTGTCTTCTTTGTTTTTACCACCAGGTGACATCTGCATTAGAAATTCTGTTTCCTAGATCAGGAACATAGGAGTATCTGCATAGACCCCCAGCCAATGAGGAAACCCGAGGACAGCTTAAGGCCTTGGGATTCACATCTGAGTAGACGTACTTGGTCCGCAACTCACAACTTTTTATTCCACCAACCGTGACCTGGGTATGAACATGACAGACCCACCAGGGTTCCTGTGTCTTAAAACCTGCCCCTGTGAGGAAAAGCCCCCTCCTTTCCTGCTCCCCTTGCAACACAGGGTAATGGTAGGCAGGGTCGGGTTGCCCAGATTAGATGACACAGGTGGCCTGGCATGGACGGACCTGCCCTGGGCTAAACTGTGTTACCTGTGGGTGCCTCTTGTCGAATGGCCAGTGGTATCAAGGATGTAGGCTGAGCCAGTATGTATACTGTCAGAAAAGGCTCTCACTTTGAGCCTTTCTCAGGCAACAGCTTGGGAATATAACACAATGAGAACACAGTGCCCTCTCAAGCATCTCCCAAGAAGTTAGCTAGATACAGGGCTGTCTCTAGAATGTGGGTTTCTGGTTCCCAAAGTTCTAAATTCTGTTAGGTTTTGTCACAAGGGAAGTCTGTTAACTTCTTCAAGGTTTTATCCCCTGAGCCCTTTTCCTCCATAAATCTACGCAAAGTCCCTGCTGGGCTGCTGATTGCTCACCCTCCTCTCCCATGTCAACTCTTTACCTGTAAACAGTTATGCAAACACAATTATGTCCCTTAATTCCCAAAAAGTTCTAAATGCAGCCAGGGCCCCAGGTTTGAGAGAACAGAGTTGGGTTAAAATCTTCTTTTCCTTTTCATTTCTGTGACCATATGAAAATGACTGTGTGCTTCAGGTCTCCCCAGCCCTGAAGTATGCATAATGGGATTATGCTAACATCAACTTCCAAAAACAGTCTTTGGTGATATATGAGATAGAATGAATCAAAATCGGTTGGATGCAGTGGCTCTTGCTGTAATCTTAGCAGATTGGTAGACCAAGGCAGCTGGAACACTTAAGGCCAGGGGTTTGAAACCAGCCATGGCCAGCATGGCAAAAACCCTTCTCTACGAAAAATCCAAAAATTAGCCAGATGTGTTGATGCATGCCTGTAATCCCAGCCACTCAGGAGGCTGAGGTGTAAGAATCACTTGAGCCCAGGAAGCAGAGATTACATTGAGCCATGATCCTGCCACTGCACTCCAGCCTGGGTGACAGAGCGAGACTGTGTCTCAAAAAATATATATATATATAATGTATATAAATATTTTTATTTATATATTATATATAACTATATATATATCAATTATATATAACTATATATAATATATAAACTTATACATATATATCTTTATATATAAAAGATACATAGTTTATGTATCTTTATACATAAAAGATATATATTTTATATATATGGCCTTAATTTTCCATTCCACAGCAGAAGAGGTTGAAATTAAAAGAAAATCAGATACTGTCTTCTGGCATTAAATATTCCAGTGCTGTGCATTATATTTAGAATCATATGTATATGCCTCATCTCAGCCTATGTGGTGGGCACCCCCAACAAAGTCTCACAACAACACTAAGTTGTGAGTGACTCTGTTATTTTAAAACGCAGCTCACCTCTCAGTGCCTCAGAAGCAGGTACTATAACACCGGGTTTCTAACAGAGAGATGGGATTCCAGCTCAAGTCTGTTTCCCTGTGCTTACTTAAAGGTAGTAATATTCTCAGAAAGGTTTTAGGAGGTAGGTTCTGGATTAGTACGGAATTGCTTAAAGGAAAAATGTATGGAAAATCACTGGGCATGAACAACTATTTTTTCTTGCTACACACAGATCACATGTGCAAATTTGGGGACAGTTAGTACAAAACATGTGATGGAAATTTGGGCTCTGACATCAGTGAGCTTATTTCACACAGACTCCAGTTGACCATATTGGTTCCGACCAATTTTAGCCACTTTTTAGAAGTCTCATAAGTGGAATAAATTTCATTCTTTCAACAAGTTGTATCTTTTCTTATCTGTCATTCTGCAAACTGAAGAATTTCTGTTAGTCATTGGATGAACTCTTTGGGGACCTGGTTCTAGTTTCTGTCAAAGGGAAAACAACAAATGTGATAGGTTATCACTTCTGACTTAGTTCAGACTTCTATACCAAAAAACATAGACTAGGCAACTTATAAATAAAAAACATTAGTTCTAGAGGCCAGAAATTTGAGATTGGGCTTCCAGCATGGTTGGGGTCTGGTAAGGACTCTCTTCTGAGTTTCAAACTCCAGACTTCAGGTTGTTTTCTCATTTAGCAGAGAGAGGGAGAGACAGCCTTCTGCGGTTTCTTTTACAAAGCCCGTAATCGCTATCATGAGGTCCTCATGCTTCGGACTTAATTACCTCTGACCTGCTAAGGCCATTACACTGGGGATTAAGGTTCTGGTATGTGAACATGGTGGGGAATCACATAGTCTTCTGCAACTTCCAAAGTTATATTTCTAAAACAGCTATTATTTTCCTCTTACTTGCTCTGTCCTGTGTGTCCTCTCTCAATCTCTCTGTCTCCCTTTCTCTCTTTTTCTCTGCATATGTCTGTCTATCTCTTTCATTTTTCATCTCTGTATTGTAATCCTCAAGATGAGGAAGTGATCTGCAGTGTCCTAAGATGCTCTAGGCACAGACCCACATGATAGAGAACTGAGGAGATGCCCAGGCCAATCGAGAGGAAGGAACTCGGGCTCTCAGTTCACACTGAATCGTGCCAGTTTCCATGAGGCAGATAGAAGGCTGATCTCTCCTCAAATCCAGCTTCAGTTGAAATCACAGCCCCAGCCTCGTAAGAGACCTTGAGGCAGAGGCACCCAACTAAGCTATATCGAGATTCTGGTTCACAAAAGTTGTGAGATAGTATTTGTTGTCAACATGTGCTAAAATTCAGGGAAATTTTGTCAGAGAGGGGCAAATGACTAATCTCCTCTTTCAGTCCCCAGGATCCTCCCTCCCCTCTTTTCCTTTCTTTCTCAGGCTGCCTGCCGCCACAATTGTCCCGTTATAACCTCCTCTGCTGAACTCACCTGTGCCTGTGAGTCTCTTCACAAAGAGTGGCTTTTCCCTGACACACTTTGCACACCTGCGCAGGACTGGCTCTCTGTTGTCATTCTGGTCACAACATAATGTCACCTCAGGGAGGCATTCATGTCCCCTCCAGGC